>NC_000004.12:155285017-155588047 GCF_000001405.40 Homo sapiens
TTGAATGCGTCCCAGAGATTCTGGTATGTTGTGTCTTTGTTCTCGTTGGTTTCAAAGAACATCTTTATTTCTGCCTTCATTTCGTTATGTACCCAGTAGTCATTCAGGAGCAGGTTGTTCAGTTTCCATGTAGTTGAGCGGTTTTGAGTGAGATTCTTAATCCTGAGTTCTAGTTTGATTGCACTGTGGTCTGAGAGATAGTTTGTTATAATTTCTGTTCTTTTACATTTGCTGAGGAGAGCTTTACTTCCAAGTATGTGGTCAATTTTGGAATAGGTGTGGTGTGGTGCTGAAAAAAATGTATATTCTGTTGATTTGGGGTGGAGAGTTCTGTAGATGTCTATTAGGTCCGCTTGGTGCAGAGCTGAGTTCAATTCCTGGGTATCCTTGTTGACTTTCTGTCTCGTTGATCTGTCTAATGTTGACAGTGGGGTGTTAAAGTCTCCCATTATTAATGTGTGGGAGTCTAAGTCTCTTTGTAGGTCACTCAGGACTTGCTTTATGAATCTGGGTGCTCCTGTATTGGGTGCATATATATTTAGGATAGTTAGCTCCTCTTGTTGAATTGATCCCTTTACCATTATGTAATGGCCTTCTTTGTCTCTTTTGATCTTTGTTGGTCTAAAGTCTGTTTTATCAGAGACTAGGATTGCAACCCCTGCCTTTTTTTGTTTTCCATTTGCTTGGTATAGTTTCAGGTCTTACATGTAAATCTTTAATCATTTTGAGTTGATTTTTGTATATCATGAGAGATAGGAGTCCAATTTCATTCCTCTGTATATGGACATCCAATTTTCCCAGCACCATTTATCAAAGAGAGTGTTCTTTCCCCAGTGTATGTTCCTAATGTCTTTGTCAAAAATCAATTGGCTGTAAATATGTGGATTTGTTTCTAGTTTCTCTATTCTGTTCCATTTGTCTGTGTCTATTTTTATATCAATATCATACTGTTTTGTTTATTATAGTCTTACAATGAAAATGTATTTTGCATTCAGTTAGTGTAATACCTCCAGCATTGCCCTGTTTGCTCAGAATTTGACTATTCAGGATCTTTTTTGGTTCCATACAAATTTTAGGATTTTTTTTCTATTTCTGTGAAAAATGACATTTGTTATTTTGGTATAGACTGAATTGAATATGTAGATTGCTTTGGGAAGTATGTTTATTTTAATCATATTAATTCTTCCACTTCATGAGCATGGGATGACATTCCATTTGTGTCCTTTTCAACTTCTTTCATCAGTGTTTTATGGTTTTTACCTTATAGAGATTTTTTATCTCCTTGGTGAAATTGATCCCTTTTTTTTGTAGCTATTGTAAATGGGATTGCTCTCTTGTTTCAGCTGTTTCATTTCTATGATATAGAAATGCTATTCATTTTTGTAGGTTGATTTGGTATCTTGCAACTTTACTGAAGCAATTCCTGGTCCTAAGGACAAGAAATTTTTGTTGTTGGACAAGGAAGAGGAAAAACAAGAGAAACAAATTGAACACAAACTTTTTTTCTACCTGTTGGCAGCATTTATAACACAAATACTCCGTAATTAAAATAATTTTATTTTTACTATAAAAAATATTAATAATCTTTTCTGAGCCATATTCTTAGAGAATAAAGGTAACATTGGGGAGTGTTGAATATAATGTTTAGTTATGAGCAAATATTCATTATTTTTCTCAATACTGATATTGCTATACTTTGGCAGAGGGGGAAAATATGAGTGAAACTCTGGAGTACAGAGACTTAGGCATGAATGCTAATTTTAGACATTTTCCCAACTTCTGAGGTACCTTTTGTGAATTTAAAGAGCCAGAGAGTATAGAGGTAAACAGAATAGGTATGCACTGAAATTTCAACTGAATACTTAGGTTTCCATTTGGCTTTAGAAATAAAGTATATACTTTGGTGGCCGATAGGTATATACAAATGATCCAGTTTATGGACCACCATGTATGAACAGTTTGAAATAATAGGCAAATTTTTACTTTGTTTGTTTTCTTTAAAGGCCTAAGCTTCCAAAGTAAACATTTTCCTACCTTGACTCTGCTTCTTTTCTGCCAAACTTTAAAGTCACTCCTCAAAATCAAAGGTTAATTCTGGATAACAGCAGCAAAACATTGTCTATACAAAAAACGAAGAGAAATGAAAATTTTAATGGAAAAGACTATCATAATATAAAATATCCTATTTTAGAATACAATTAGCAAAATATACATATTAATAGTACACACCTTGGGATTGGTGCTTTGCCTATTAAAAAATGGCAAACTCCTCTAATTCTACTGCTAGTAGACTATTCTTCCCATCTGTGAATAATGGTATTTTCCAAATGTCAGTATAAGGAAACTTACACAGAAAAAACTCCGTATTGTAGATAGCAGTTTTCCACTAGATGAAAAATATCTATTTTCCTGTCTCTTAGAATACACCATCTGTATTTGTCAAACTTTCTGAACATTGCAGGAATCTGGGCTGTGTACCTGTTCAGCTTTCTCCTAGTGACTGACAATCAGTGACATGTGGAGAGGGAAGGAGCTTTCTAACTTCTGTGAGATTGTGAGTTTTCCAAGTGGGGCATAGGACACAACTCAGTAGAGTTAAAGTATCAGTTTTTCAACACAAATGATCCAATTTATGGACTGTCCACACCTCTTTCTTTTCATTTGCATTGACCTTCTGCCTTTGTAGTGCTTTTTCAAAACTATATCAGATGGTGAGAGAATCAATAAAAATAAATAAATAAAATAAGAAAAATGAATGCTTAAGGTTTTTACCTATGGTGCTTCTAAGCAAATATAATTTTAATTTCTGTGTACAAATGGAAACAGATATATAGCTCTACGTATGATTCAATTAGGTATAATAATTTAAATTTATTGAACTTGCAATAACAAAAGTGTAGCTTTAATTCTGAAATGGATGTGAGGGGGAAACGAAAGGGATGGCAAAGCTGAGGAGGTATGGAGGGATAATGTATTTCATTTTTTGAGCAAAATTTCTGATGGAGTGTTGCTAAAATTCTCCACTAGGCAAAAAGCAGGTGCTGTGCACTGTATCACAGTGGCCCCTTGACTTAAGATGCAGGCCTACAGGCCAATCTTATCAGCATTAGGTATATCACAGAAGTATCTGTTCAAAGGAAATGGCCCATATTCCAAGGAATTTATGAGCCCTAATGTCACAGAACAGGCCCAGTGCCCTTGGCTAATATGAGTAACAGAACTTTTGGAATGGAAGAAAATTCCATTTTCCAGTGAGCGAACAGAAACCTAGAAAAGGCAAATTTATGGTTCACAGCTCTCTAACTGCTTCTGTTAGAACTGAGACCTGGTTGCCTCTCCAGAGCTGTTTGTGGATGCTCTCACAGCAAAATTCTAGATGTCAAAATCATATTTAATAACCATGATATGATATTTAAAATCAATTAATAATATAAATATTATATATTTAATATACATATGATGATATGCATATTTTACCTCTGGTCTTTCTCTTCCAAACCCATAACTCCATTCTAATAGTGAGAAATATATCAAACAATATCAGTTAAGGGACATTCTAAAAAATACCTGACCAGTAATCTTCAAAACTGTCAAGGTCACCAAACCAATCAAAGTCTGAAAAACTGCTATAGCCAAGATGAGTGTAAGAAGTCATGATAACTAAAAGCATTATGGTATCCTAGATGGGATTCTGAGGCAGACGTGGGACATTGGATAAACACTAAATAAATCTGAATAAAGTATGGATTTCAGTTAAGAATAATATGTCAATATTAGTTCATTAATTGAGACAAATGCATTATAATTATGTAATGTGCTAATAATAAGAGAAGCTGAGTATGGGGTATATGAGAGTTCTCTATCAAACACCAAAAGCTGGTGAGGATATAGAGCAACAAGAACTTGCATTCATTGCTAGTGGAAATGAGAAAAAGCTCAGCCACTTTGTAAGAGAGTTTCATAGTTTCTTACAAAATTAAACATACTCTCACCTCACAATCCAGCAATTGTGCTGCTTAGTATCTACTTAAAGGAGATACTAAGTAGTATCCACACAAAACCCTGCACATAAAACTTACATCCACACAAAACCCTGCACACAGATGGTTATTATTATGAGTAATGAGTAGCTTCATTTGTAATTGCCAGAACTTAGAAGCAAACAAGATATTGCTTAGTAGGCAAATTGACAAATAAACTTTGGTACATCCAAACAATGGAATATTATTCAGCACTAAAAAGAAATTAGCTATCAAGTTATGAAAATGCAAGAAGGAAACTTAAGTACATATTATTAAGTGAAACAAGACAATCTAAATTGGCTATGTACTGTATGATTCCAACTATATAACATTCTTGAAAAGTCAAAACTATAAAGATTTTAAAAATCAGGGGTTTCTAGGAGTTAGGGGACAGGGAGAGATGAATAGGTGAAATGGAGAAGAATTTTAGGGATCTAAATATACTCTATATTATATTATAATGGTAGATAAATTTTATTATGCAATTGTCTGAGCCCATAGAATATACAACATCAAAAGTAAACCCCAGTGTAAACTACAGACTCTGAATAATAATTATATGTCAATGTAGGTTTATATATTGTAACAAATGTACTAATATGGTGAGGGATTTCAATAGGGTGGAGGCTGTACATGTGTGGGGGCAGGTGGTGTATGAAATATCTCTATACCTTCCTTTCAGTTTTGCTGTAAACCCAAAACTGCTCTAAAAAATACATTCTTTTTTCTTCAAATCACTATTAAAATCATCTTCATTTATGACAAGTATGTACGACTTAGTTAAGCAGGAATTTGAATCATTGCTTATGAGTACAGTTATGATTGCCTATTGGCTTTATAGGAAAATTATAACCAAAGCTAATTTTCCATTTCTGAGGTTACTACAATCCAATGTTTATGTGAAATAATGATCTATTGGACCAAGATTCTGGAAATTTTTACTTTTACCTGGTTATAAACTCATGTATTTTAGAGACAATTGCAATGTGAAATAGCAAGATAAATTTTCCAGAAAAGAAATATTTCCATTTTGAGCTGATTCATCTTCATAATTTTGACTTTCTAATTAATGTATTCCAATTACTTGCTAACTCTTTTATATGAATCATTTATTGTCTAGTTATGGAAAGATTGCAGATTATTGAAAGGACAAAAAATTATAAAATTATATTGAATCACAGAAAATATATCCTACTTACTGGTTTATCCTGACCAAAAAAAAAAGTTCATGATTACACGTTGCTTTAATTGCACATTTTTAAATTCTAAATTCACATGCAGTTGTTAAAAAAAAAAAATACAGAGAAATTTGTATACCCTTCAGTTTCTCCCAAGGGTAGCATCTTGCATAACTATAGTACAGAATTACGACCAGGAAAATGACAATGCCATCCATTAACCTTATTTGATTTCACTAGTTCTACATGCACTAATTTGCATGTGTTTGTGTGCTTCATTCCATTTTATTTTTGTCACAGGTATAGATTTATTTAACAACCATCACCGTCAAGACACATAACAGTTCCATCAGCACAAGAATCCTATGACAGTTACACACTCTTCTATCTGTTCCTTTCTCCCTTTCTCAGTCCCTAGCAGTAATAATATATTTTCTATCTCTATAATTTTATCATTTCAAGAATGTTCCACAAATGAAACCTCATAGTATGCATAAGCTTTTGAGAGTACCTATTTTCAGATAGCATAATCCCCTTGAGATCCATTCAAGTGGTTGTATGTGCCACTTGTTTGTTCTTTTTTGTTGCTGAGTAGTAATCCATAATGTGAATGTTTTTCAATAATTCACCCACTGAAGTCTATCTACATTGTTTCCAGTTGGGGGCTACTATGAATAAAGTTTCTACAAATGCGTGTACCTGTTTTTGTGTGAACATAAATTTTCATTTATTTGGGATAAATGTACAGGGTCAAATTGCTGGGTCATGTGTAAGTGCAGATTTAATTTTCTAAGAAATTATAAAACTATTTTCTAGAGTGTTTACATTACTTTACATTCTCATCAGCAATAAATGAGTGGTCTAGTTTCTTTGCATTCTAACCAGCATTTGACATTATCACTATTTTTTGAACCATTTTAATAAGTGTGTAGGGATGTCTACTAAGTGTGGTTTTAAACGTTAATTTCCCTCATGGCTAATCATCTTTTCATGTGCTTGTTTACCATTTGTATTTTTTTTTCAGAGAAATACCTATTTATGTCTTTTGCCTACTTTCAAACTGGAGTACTTGGTGGTGGTGGTGTTGTTTCATGTTGGATTTTGAGAGTTTTTATATATTTTAGATACAAGGCTTTTGTCGGGTATGTGATTTTCAAATATTTTGACCCCATATGTAGCTTGTGTTTTCATCCTCCTGACATGATCTTTCACAGAGGATAAGTTGTTTATTTTTATTTCTATTTTGAAGAGGTCTATTTTGTCTTTATTTCCTTTTATGAATCTTTTTTTTCTTGGGTGTCAAAACTGATACCTTTTCTCCTAGTCCTAAGTCTCAAATATTTTCACTCATTTTTTTTTCTAAAAGTTTGAATTTGAAGTTCATCTTCTATCTTTAAAGGGTGTACAGTTTGGTTGAGGTTCATATTTTTGCCCATGGATGTCCAATTTCTCCAGCAATGGATATTGAAAAGACTACATTTTCTTCACTGAATTGTTTTGTACCTTTGTCAAAATTAGTTGAGAATATTTGTGTGGGTCTATATGTTCCATTGATCTATGTGTCTGTCCCTCTGTCCCTCTGCTAACACCATACTGTCTTGATTCTTGGCATACATGGCTTTTTTTTTTTTTTTTCAAATAGTTTTTACCTTTAAAACAAAGAGAACAATTCACGACACCCTCTTATCTATCTATGTTGGTTGGTTAGGGACAAAAAGGAAGAAATGAATCATTTAAAATGTAGAGGGTATTTAGCAGATTTTGTTTCCAATTAGAAACGGATTGAGATTCATGGCTTTGGGAATGATTTCTCTATTGCTTTCTCTCTCTTTGGTGTTCTTGTTTATCCACAATGTGTTATATTCTCCATTTTATAGATGAGAAAATTAAAGTTCTTTGAGGTTCCCACAGAATATGGTAGGACCAACATCATGCTTGGAAGCCAATTCAGCTTGTTTCCAGAGTTTGAAATTTTATCCACTATGTTATACTGCTCATGACATCTCAGAGTCCAGTGCCCCTCAGACCAACATCTCTTACATATATATGGGAGATTTTTGAAAGTCTACATCAGTGTCTACTGGTAATGGTACAAAAGGATCATCAGGTGGAAAATAGTCTTATTTAATTACAAAATACTCATTGAGTACCTATAGACCATGCCCTTGACCTAATGGAGCTTACATTTTATGGGAAAAGCAAACAAACACACAAGCAAGCAAGTCTCTCTATATATTTACATTTATATTTTTATATGTATTCCCCAAATCTCCTACCCACAGTTCTACAATTCAAGAAGTTCTGAAAACCAAAGATTCTTTTATAACTTATTTGTTGGCAAAAACTTGTCTTGAACTGACATAAAGCTATCTATAGTCTTTATTTATCCCACTTAAAATTAATTACTAGTAATGAATTTTATTGTAAATCAGTGGCTGAGGCCAAGTGTGTTGGGGGAAGGGGTTACATAATATACAGTAAATGTCCTATATTATCTTTCTAAAATTTGGGAGGAAAATGTCTTATTCTGGAAGCACATTTATTCTCAAAGGGTTGGGATAAAGGAATGTAAATTTATATTACTAAATGCAGGAAGAATAGGTGCTACATTGAAAAATAGAGTAATGAAGGAGAATACTGTTTGAGATAGGGCAACAGAGAAGGCCTGTCTGAGGATGTGTCACCTTAGAGACATGCAGAGGAGAGCTATGGAGAAGGAGCATCCCAGGTAAAGAAAAAAAAATAAAACAGATGTAAAGACACCTAGACAAGAATATCATGCTCGGGGAGTTAGAAACAGCAAGAACACTGAGCCTGGAGTGGAGTGAACATGGTAGAGGGCAGTAGGAGGTAGATTTGGACTTTCAGTCAGACCATATCACCTTAGTCAAAGAGCAAAATTATCCAGGTGTTTTCCCTTTTGTTCACTGTAAACAAAAAATATCTGAGACAAGTCTCAATCAGTTTAGAAGTTTATTTTGCCAAAGTTAAGGACATCCTTCTGACACATCCTCAGGAGGTCCTGAGACCATGTGCCCAGGGTGCTGGTTTTATATGTTTTAGGGAGACATAAGACATTCATCAATGCATATAAGATGTACATTGGTTTTGTCCAGAAAGGTGGGACAACTCAAAGCAAAGGGGATCGGAGTTCCAGGTCATAGGTGGATTCAAAGATTTTCTCATTTGCAATTGGTTTAAAGAGTTTATTTAAAGACTTAGAATCAATAGAAGGGACTGTCTGGGTTAAGATAAGGGATGGTAGAGACCAAGGTTCTTATTAGGCAGATGAAGCCTCCAAGTAGCAGGCTTCAGAGAGAATAGATTGTAAAACTTTATTATCAGACTTATCAAGTGCCAGACTCTTAGTTAATTCTCTCCTGAATCAGGAAAAAGACCTGGAAAGGAAAAGGAATTCTCTACAGATTGTAGATTTTCCCCTGTAAGAGACAGCTTTGCAGGGCCATTTTCAAAATATGTTGAAAAAATATATATACTTTGGGGTAAAATGCTTTTCTTTCCTTCAGGGCCTGCTGTTTGTCATGTTGGTATCATATTGCTACAAACAGTCTGCTTTGTCAGTCATAAGGTCTCTGTTTTAATGTTAAGGCTGGTCAATTGTGACTAAATTCCAAAGGGAGGAGGGTATAATGAGGCGTGTATGACTCCCCCGTCCCATTATGGCCTGGACTAGTGTTTCAGGTTAAATTTGTAATGCACTTGGCCAAGAGGAGGGCACCATTTAATTGGTTGGGGAGCTTAGGATTTTATGTTTGGTTTACATCATAATTGCTTTTATTCTCTTTAAGTCATTTCTCTGTGTCTCAGTTATAATCTCTAATATGGTTTGAGGCTTGCAAACACCTTGCTATTATTTTTTAGTTATCTGGCACTGACTCAGCTTGTAAAACATCAAGAAGATTCTAAATCTTCCATAAACAAGGCAGTGATAATACTTACATATTGGTACATGAGCTAGAATATATGTAATAACACCTTAATACATTATTTGAAGGCCTTAGGAAAAGAAGGATTATATTCAAATGCAATATTATAATATTTCTAATTTAAGAAACATTCTTAAGATAAAATCAAAGTTATTATTCAAAATTATTGAATTGGCCTTTTTTCTTTTCTCTTTATTAAATCATTTTGGAGGCTGCCATCTTAAGAAAGACAGACTTTTGCCAGTTCAATTACACTTGCTGTGTACTGTTCTGTATCAGTTAACCAGCTGCTTTTCATGGGATGCCCAAGTCCTTACTAAAGATGAAGATCTATAGTCACTTATTAAGTGAATTCACATCTGAGAAGGATAAAATGTTATTTAAAACAAAATACAGGTAGATTTAATGTAGAAGGATCAAATTCAATTCTGGAGACAGAATAATCTGTTGACCACAAAGTCTGATCCTCTCTGATATGTCTATAGTTTCTTTATTCTAATGCCAATGTGAGGATTGTCTTCTGTCCCAATGTCATGTGTATTTGCCCCAGCCTAGAGGTAATAATATTGCTTTAATGTGAAAATAAATAAATAAATAAATAAGTAATTACTTCTCTGGTGCTGACACCATCTAACTATAGTAAATTATAAATCCACATCCTTCTGTGACCATCCTGCACCCCCAGTGTTTCCTCAAATTACTTCCAGAACTTTTCAGAGAAGCCTCACATATGGTCACAGGCAAGTCCTTTCAGCCTCCACTGTCTACTGAGTTCTATAGTGCCTGCAAAGCTGGGCTTTGTTGCAGTTTTATCCTCTGAGTGCTCTAAGTTCTGTTCAAAGGAATGGCCTCGGTAAGCTATAGCTGAATCCACTGCTGGAGGTGGTGTCTCCTGCTATGAATAACCCCAGTGCTGACACTCCTGTGCTATGGTGGGCCCATTCCTTCTTGCTATATTTACACATGACCTGTGAAAATGCCTCTTTGAACATCCAACATCTCACAGAGACTTTATGAGTTAACATTTTTTAAGTTTAACTTTGTCACACAGACATTTCTTTCTCTTTTTGACAGAACTCATAGGATTAAAAAAAAAATTGAGTGTATTAATTTGCTAGGGTTGTCATCGCAAAGTATCACAAACTGACTACTTCAAACAATAGAAATTTGTTTGCAGTTCTGGAGGGTAGAAGTCCGAGACCAAGGTGTTAGCAAAGTCAGTTCCTTTTAAAGCCTCTGTCCTCGACTTGTAGAAGGGCTGTCTTCATGTTTACGTGAAGTGCTCTCTCTGTGTGTCTGTGTCTTCTCATAAAAACACCAGTCATACCAGATTAGGGCCCACCCTAATAACCTCATTTAACCTTGAAAGGGTTAACAGCCCACCAAAGTGATATGAAGATTACTTTAACTGAAGAATATCTAAACAATCAGCAGCCACATAAAGAAACATAATCTAAACTTAGCAGAGACTCCCCAAATACAGCTGCCATTGACCCCCTCCAAAGCAGTTTCCTATTAGAGGGCTAAAATGGTTAATTCTACATGGCAATTTAATGGGGCCAAGAGGTGCCCAGATTAAACATTGTTTCTTGGTGTGTCTATGAGGGTGTTTCCAGGTGACATTAGTATTTGAATCAGTGGACTCAGTAGACAGACCTCCCTAAGGTGAGAAAGCATCATCCAATTTATTGAGGGCCTAAATAGAATAAAAGTCAGAGGAAGGAAGATTTTGGCCCCTTTGCTTCTTGCCACATACTTGCTCTGGGACATCAGTCTTCTCCTGCCCTTGGACCAGGATTTACACCATTGGTTTCCCTGGTCTCAGAGCTTCAGACTTGCACTGAAATTACACTGCCAACTTTCCTACTATGTGAGCCAATATTTCATAATAAATCTCTTCATATATGTATATATTATACATAAATATTCATATGTATATATAATTGGTTATCAGTAATATGTCAATATATATTATTGGTTCTGTTTGTCTGGAGAACCCTGATACAGGAGAATACTAGCCCTTGGCAGCAGGAAGTATAAATTACACTGTCATAACACCCCCCCTCCTCTTCAGGCTGAGATTTCAGCCTGGATAAACACTGCCATTTCTATTTGCATCAAAAAGCCAACAGGACTTTCCATACTTCCCCACTGAAACCCTGGACACTGGCCACAGCCACTTACCCTCCTTTTGTTTAGGTAGTATATAGACCTATACCTCTGGCTATTCACCGAGTCATTCATTACTGTGTGTTCCTATATATGTGTGAATTAAACCTGTCTTTTCTCCTTAGTATGTCTGTTAATTCACAGGTTCTGATCACTTGAACTTAAGTTGACAGAAAGATTTTTCTTCCAATAATCTTAATTACCTCTTTAAAGGCCTAATCTCTAAATATACGTTCATGTTCTGAAGGTACTATGGGTTAGGATTTTAATATAGATATTTGGGGACACTATTTAACCCATAACACTGAGCTATAAATTTCTCCAAATCACACCTTCTCTCTGATATTAGAAAATCAGTCTTAGAAAGAGCTTATGTGTCTCATTTCTTTACTCAGAAGGTCTCAAACAATTACGTCAAGCATCCCTTGAAGAAACTAACCTGCTTGCCTACTGGGTATGTCTAGGTGTGTCTGATCCTAGTAGTGAGAGTCAGCAGAATTGAAATTCAAGCTGGGATGTATACTGTGTTCTCTAAACTACCTAATATGAACCAAATGTGTAAAGTGTGGAGTTGAGAAAATATTCCCAAATGGTCAACAATTTAGAGCAACATTCCCTATTTTGCTTCAAGTATCCACACAGAGACACCCAAAAATGAGTCTGGGTGATTATCCTGGGCTCTGAACATTAGATGATGAACAACTGAAGAGAAATAGAAGATCCCACAAATAGAGGTTAAGAGAGGACTATGACATTTCTAACACAGCTGAATCTAGAATAAAAATTAATCAGTTCATGTTCTGCAAGCAGTAGTAGTTCTAGAAGCCTTGACCCCCATTACCTCACATAGCAACCAACTTACAGATAAAGTGCTGATGGGATTTTCAATCACAAAAGATTTGAGAAGAATTCACTGGAGACTGTTTTTCTTAATGAGTCCATTCCTTGCCCAGACCACTTCCCTCACTGGGCTGATACAGTAAGGTGTATTCCTTGGCATCTGATAATTGTCATTAAGTCAGCCTTTTGGGGAGCCATTTATGATAGCTCACAACAAATTTGAGTATTATGTGCTTTTCATGTAGATGCATTTCTTAAATGGAAAAGTCTCAAATGAGCATTGATAGGTTTATTTCAAGCACATTAATTTGGTTATTGCCCTTATGAGGCAGTATTTTTCAACTCTCATATTTATTTTAAAACCTAAAAGCTGTATGTGTTAGTCCATTCTTGCATTGCTATAAGGAAATACCTCAGACTGGGTAATTTATAAAGAACATAGGTTTAATTGGCTCACAGGTTCTGCAGGCTGTACAGAAAGCATGGTGGGGAAGGCCTCAGGAAACTTACAATTATGACAGAAGGCAAAAAAGAAGCAGGCACATCTTACATGGTGAGAGTAGGAGGAAGTGGGTGGCGGGGGGTGGTACCAGACACTTAAAGAATCAGATCTCAGGAGGACTTTATCATAAGAACAGCACCAAAAGGGTAAGTCCCTCCCCATGATCCAAAAACCTTCCACAGCGTCCTACCTCTAACACTGGGGTTTACAATTCAACTGGATATATGGTCAGGGACACAAATCCAAACCATATCATTCTGCCCCTGGCCCCTCCCAAATCTTGTATTCTTCTCACGTTGCAAATTACAATCATGCCTTCCCAGCAATCCCCCAAAATCTTAACTCATTCCAGCATTAACTCAAAAGTTCAAAGTCCAAAGTTTCATCTGAGACAACACAAGTCCCTTCCCCCTGTGAGCCTGTAAAATCAAAACAACTTAGTTACTTCTAAAATACAATGAGAGTACAAGCATTGGGTAAACCCACGAGTTCCAAATGGGAGAAATTGCCCAAAAGAAAGGGATGACAGGCCCCATACAACTTCCAAACCCAGCAGGGAAGTTATGAAATCTTAAAGCTTCAAAATAATTTTTATTAACTCCATGTCCCATATTCTGAGCAGGCTTGCACAAGGGGTGGGCTCTCAAAACCTTGGGCAGCTCTTCCCCTGTGACTTTGCAAGGTTCAGCCTCCACAGGTGATCTCATGGGTTGGCGTTAAGTGCCTATGACTCATTCAGGTGCAGGGTAAAAGCTGCCAGTGGATCTCCCATTCTGAGGTCTGGAGGATGGTAGTCCTCTTCTCACAACTCCACTAGGCAGTACCCAAGTGGGGACTCTGTGTAGGGGCTCCAATCTCATGTTTCCCATCTTCACTGTTCTAGTAGAGGTTCTCTATGAGGGCTCCGTCCCTGCAGCAGGCTTCTGCCTGGATATCCAGGCTTTTTCATATGTCCTCTGAAATCTAGGCAGAGGCTCCCAAGACTCAACTCTTGCACTCTAAGCACCTGCAGGCTTAATACCACATGGATACTGCCAAGGCTTACGGTTTGCATCCTCTGAAGCAGCATCCCAAACTATATCTGGGGACCTTTTAGCCATGGCTGGAGCTGGAGCAGCTGGTATGCAGGAAGTAGTGTCCCCAAGGCTCAAGGCAGCAGGGCTGGTCCTGGCCCATGAAGCCATTCTTCCCTCCTAGGCCTCTGCATCTGTGATGGGCTGGGCTGCCTCCAGGGTCTCTGAAATGCCTTGGAGGCCTTTTTCTCATTGTCTTGGCTATCAGCACTTGGCAACTCCTTACTTATGCAAATTTCTGCAGCCTGCTTGAATTCCTCCTGAGAAAATGGGTTTTTCTTTTCTACCACATGGCCAGGCCACAAATTTTCCAAGCTTTTATGTTCTGCTTCCCTTTTAAATATAAGTTCCAGTTTCAGGTCATTTCTTTCCTCATGCATATGAGCATAGGTTGTTAGAAGTAGGCAGGGCACATCTTGAATGCTTTGCGGCTTAGAAATTTCTTCCACCAGATACCCTAAATCATCACTCTCAAGTTCAAAGTTCCACAGATCTGTAGAGTAGGGGCACAGTAAAGCCAGGCTCTTTATTAATGCATAAAAGCATGACCTTTGCTTCAGTTGCCAGTAAGTTCCTCATTCCATCTGAGACCTTATCAGCCTGGAGTTCAATGTCCATTTTGGTCAAAACCATTCAACAAGTCTCTAGGAAGTTCTAAACTTTTCCTCATCTCCCTGTCTTCCTCTGAGCCCTCCACACTCTTCCAACCTCTGCCCATTACCCAGTTCCAAAGGCGCTTCCACATTTGCAGTTATCTTTATAGCAATGCCCCACTCTTGGTAGTAATATTGTGTATCAGTCTGTTCTCACATTGCTATAAAGAAATACCTGAGACTGGGTAATTTATAAAGAAAAGAGGCTTAATTGGCTCCCGATTCTGCAGGTTGTACAAAAAGCATAGCTGTGGAGGCCTCGGGAAACTTACAATCATGGTGAAAGGTGAAGGGGAAGCAGGCACATCTTACATGGCCAGAGCAGGAGGAAGGCAGGAGAGGTGCCACACACTTTTAAACAACCAGATCTTGTGAGAACTCTATCATGAGAACAGCACCAAAAAGGGAAGTCTGCCCCCATGATCCATACACCTCCCACTACGCCCCATCTCCAACATTGGGGATCACAATTCAACATGAGATTTGGTCAGGAACACAAATTTAAACCATATCACTGTACCCAGCCATCTTCTCAGCCTTATGCCACCCCTGTTAGTTAATATGCCATAAGAAGTCAGAGAAGATTTTTCATATTTCCTAATAACATTTAACTATACTATCCATACTGCTAACAGTGAAAATGTTTTTGATGATAATGAGAAAGTACAAACAAATTATTCTTGTCTCCATTTAAAGCAATTCTTTATATGCTCATAAACTAATTTATTTGAGGCTTTGGTTTACATGGTTCTGTGCTAGCAAGCAGAGATGGTTTAAATTATATTTCTTCAATAAGTCATCTAACACTTTTTAAAGCTTTAATATAGAATGTCTAGTGCTATAGTGTAGATGACTGTTAATTTGTGTCTCTTCATAAATAATGTGAAAGTATTTAACTTTGGAAAGAGAAGACTATAAGAAACTGATTTAAGGAACAGTATGAGTTTCTGTATTACAAATATTTAGATATTCTTAAGAATATTTGTAGATTCCCATATGTTTATATGAGAACAAGACCCAGGTCCATTTCTTTTATTATTCTTATCTTTTTTTTTGCCAGAGGTGCATGACAAATAATAAATGTTTAAGAATCAGTTGTGAATGATGAATGAAGATAATATCACATACTTGAACATGGGATCGAGGAGATGGCCAAGTTAATAGTTGACACAATGCTCAGCCTAATGGTAGGCCCTGTGCATAACACAAAAGATGTCCAAAGTGTGGTCTCTGTTCATGCAGACTTCTAAAGGTCTATGCTTTAATATCCAAATATTTTAATTCATTTGCTAATCATTAGACAGTTAATATAGGCAATAAAAAGATTGTAACAACAAGAGTAAGAAGGAAAAGAATCAGCCAGGTATTTACTGAACACTTCATACATGCCAGTCATTGTTCTAAGCCATTAATTTGTCTTATTATTTGCAATGATCCTGAGGTAAGTAGCATTATTGTTCCCATCTTGTAGATGTGTAAAATAAAGTAGTTTTTCTCCTCAAGATGTATGGAATAAAATATAAGTTAAGTTCAAAGTAGAAGGTATTATTTTATCAAAATCTACAAATTATATTAGTTTAGTAATAAATATATATTACCAATTACATTAACAACTTTGCCCGGGTTTTTTTTTGTTTTGTTTTGTTTTTCTTTGAGACAGAGTCTTACTCTGTCACCCAGGCTGGAGTGCAGTGGTGCAATCTCAGCTGACTGCAACCTCCACCTCCCAGGTTCAAGCGATTCTCCTGCCTCAGCATCCCAAGTATCTGGGATTACAAGCGCCTGCCACAACATCTGGCTAATTTTCATGTTTTTAATATAAACGTAGTATTTTTAATTTCACCATGTTGGCCAGACTGATCTCAAACTCCTGACCTCAGATGATCCGCCCGCCTTGGCTTCCCAAAGTGCTGAGATTACAGGCTTAAGCCACTGCACCTGGCCCAACCTTGCCAGTTTTCAAACAAATATTTCTAATATAGAAAAACACTTTGTAACTATCTGAGATTTGGATAGTCATCTTATTTACAGTGTACAAAGTTTTACAAAATTATTAACATTCACAGAAAAAAATAAAACCAAATACAGAAAACCTAAAACTATTACCATGTGCAGAACTAATGGAATCAAAATTAATTTCTATCTATGAGAACAGAAAAAAAATGCAGCATACAATAATGTGTTTATCCTAAGAATACTATGAAATTCTTTCAAAAGTAATATCGTAATGAAGAGATGCCTTTTTAGTCTCTTACTGATAATTAATTTTCTGTTAATATTTAGTGTTACACACCCTGGAGCCACAACTTAATTCACATATAAAATCCAATTGTGAAATTCTAAACATTGAGAAAGAATCTTTAATTTTGTTAAAACTGAAAGAAAATGGGAAAGATATTTCTAGTACCACTATAATCTTGATAAAGCAACCTTAAAAATGTTGAAAACACAAAAATATTAGATTCTATTCCCAATAAAATCAATGCTGCTAATTATTTTTTCATTCATGTATCCATTTAACAAATGATTATTTAGTGCTTACTATGTGTTAGACATGGAGTTAGGCATTTTTTAGCGAAAATTGATATGAATTCAATTTCTAATTATGTGAATAATTAAGAAAAATCAAAGTATAGAATTTTTAAATGACTTGAGATTATATTATTTCTTAATTTATTCTTCATTATTTTTTGTGTGCCCACTTAACAGAGATACATTTTAAAATATAAAGTCACTTTCTTGCTATTAAAAAGATTGAAATCATGGCAAGAAGAAATTTTATCCGGCCTTGCATACAACATTGAAGATTAGTCTATGATGATTTAGATACACCACACTGCCCTAGTAGATGTAATGAAGTCATTAATTAAATTGTGTAAAGAATCTAGAAGATAAAGCTCAGCATCACTAGTCATAAAAGAAATAAAATTGATAACAATAGTTATCTTCACCTGCCAAACACTAGAGAATTAGAAATGTTGGAACAACTAAGAATATGGAGACACAGGCATGGTAATAAAAAGTGCTGGTGGGCATACAATCTACTTACCAGATTTTTTTTTGCAGCAAGTAGTCATGTGACAAATTCTGGCCGATAAGATATAAACAGAAGTATTGTATATGACTTCCAGGAAAATTCTGACATCTTGTATTATTAATGTTAGTAACCATTTAAGATATCAAAAGAGGTTTTGCAGAATAAAGAGACAATTAAAAGAAAATGGTTTAAAAGCACAGAATTTTCTGTAATACAAATAGCTGGAGAATCAAAAATATTTATATTTGTTTATATAAGACAAAAATGAAGTATGTGCATTTTCTGTGCTGTTTTCTTTGTTAAAAAATATAAATGTTCTCCAATAGCATTATGTTTCTAATGACTAATACAAAATGATGGAACACCCCAACACTGATATTTGATGGATACAATCTCAAGTCTACTTTTTGGGAATACAGGACCTATGCCAAGAGTTCTCAGCCCCTAACTGCCTAAGAACACTGGGAACAGGGCAAGGAAATTCTGAGTTCCTTAAGATTCAAATTACAGCAAAGCTTACCTCAAGTGGTTTAAGCAGTAAGAACACACGCTATTTTGTACAACAAAAACTCTGGAGGCAGATGGTTCCAACGTAGGTTAAATTAATAGCCCAAAAAAGTCAAAAGTTCTAGCTCAAAGTCTTGTGATCCTCTGAGCTTTTCCCTCATGCTCTGAAGATGGCTGCAGCTTCTCTGATCATCAGGGCCTCACATAGTAATCTCCAAAGGCAGATTAAAAATGAAACACTATTCACCCAGATGTTTATAACAGCTTCATTTATAATTGCCAAAACTTGAAAGTAAACAAGATGTCCTTTGGTAAGTGAATGAAAAAATAAACTATGGTATATCCAAGCAATGAATTATTATTCATTACTAAAAATAAGTGAGCTATCAAACCATGAAAATACATGAAGGAAACTTAAATTAACACTCTTAAGTTACTGAAGCCAATCTGAAAAGGCTACAAACTATACGATTCCAACTATATGACATTCTTGAAAAGACAAAACTGTGGAGTTAGTAAAGAGATCTGTGGTTGCCAAGGGTTAGGGGGCAAAGAGAGATGAACAGGAGGAGCACAAAAGATTTTGGAGCAGTAAAAATACTCTGTATGGTACTATAGTGGTGGATAAAGTCATTATAGATTTGTCCAAACCCAAAGAACGTACAACACCAACAGTGTACCCTAACGTATCCTATGGACTCTGGGTGATAATGATGTGCCAGCGTAGGCTCATCAGTTACAGCAAATGTATCATTCTGGTGGGGGATGCTGATAACGGGGGAGGATGTGTACGTGTGGGGGCAGGGCTATATGAAAAATATCTGTATCTCCAATTTTGCTGTGAGCCTAAAACTTTTCTAAAAGAAAAAGTTTTTAGGGAAAAAAAAAGCATTCTTTATTTTCAAAGAAAAGCAACCATAAATAATGATGGAAACATGAAAAATTATATTTTAGGTAGGTACTATCTCTGAGACAGACTAATATCTTCATGAATGTTTACTAACAGTGACATTTTATTTTTAAAACTTCAATTTTTACTTTTAAATAAAAATTATTAAATTATTAACATAAAATTATAAATTATTAAATTGAAAATATTTTTAAATTTTTAAAATTAATTTTTGGTTTTTAAAATTAAATTGTATTAATCAAAAACTACTTGTACATATTAAATAAAATTGAACATGTATATCATTAATCTCACAACTCAATAAGACTCTCCTTTTTGTTAATAACAGTAGTATGGTTATCACTTAGTAAGTTCCAGCCAAATGCCATTTTCTTTGTATATAATAAAGTTATATCATTAGTATATTTATGTCACCTCCAGTCAAATTTTAGCTAAGACTAAATGACATTATGTTCCAGGAACTTTCCTAAGTACTTTACATATATTTACTTAATCCTGTCAATTTCTTGTGAAGTTGGTATTATTAGTATCCCTATAAATATTAATGATTACAGGGTGGTCTTAGTAGCACCAAGCCTCATATCCTCCCAGAAAAAGTGCAAAGCATGGAAGAAAGGAGAGGCTTCTTGTGAAAAGTTCCTGGAAGTCTTCTCTTCAGTTCCTATGAGCTAGCAGTGGAGCTGGTGCAAGGAGAGCTGAGAAAGCCAGGGTGTGGGAGGCGGGCTCTGCCAATAAGGAAGTGGGAGAAGAGGAACACCCTTAGGGAAAGTACAACCAGATCAGTAGCTACTGCTTCATAACAAACCACTCCCAAAACAGTTATTTAAAACCGTGCATTATTTCTAAAGGTGCCATGGGTCACCTGACCTTGGTCAGGTTCTGGTATCTTGGCTGGGATCACTAGTGCATTTGTATTCCATTGCTGGATCAGTTCTTGTAAACCTAGTAGAGAACTACTGGTAGTCCTGGAACAATCTCCTTTGAAGCATTTCTCTTTATTCTTCTTTTTCCATTTTCATCCCTTGGTGCTAGAGCCAGATATTGAGGTCACTATTTCACTATGAGGTTCAGAATCCTGACTACCTCATAGTAGCAATTCTGGGTGAAGTACATATTAAAGAGGAAGCACATCTTTAGTTTCCAGTAACTGGCATTTGGTTATGGGGTGGCTGTTTTTCTACGTGGACCAAGCAGGGTCCCAGTTCAAGTTTCTGCTGCCTATCTGATAATCTTGAGGTATTTATGAAGGACTCCTTTGAAAGTTCTCTACTGAGTTTCCTTAAGGAATTGGAATATGTAAGTAAATTACTGTCCAGAATGGAGGAAAACTATACTAATCACAATGAATAGACCATATATTCCTTATGAAATTCATATCATTTGAAGGAAAATTAGGTTAGTAACTCTACCACATAATGTGTTTGCTTATGGAATTTTTTACTCACTTCTTCAGTCCATTGTATTTGCCATGCTTTAGAACATGGTCATGGATCTTATTGGGGTTATCCTCATCTTTATTCCTGAGCAGTCTCTACCTTTGGTGGCACTGCTTATATTATATTGATATAGTTTTGATTAAGTTTTACCACTGATACGGCTCCAGTGAGTAGAGGAACACCAGGACTCTTGTCTCGTGTGGATTAGCTAAAACAACACGGACACACGTGGAGTGGCTTTAAGGAGTGGAGAGTTTAATAGGCAAGAAAGAAAAGAGAAGGCAGAAGGAAGAGGCTAGCCTTACAGAGACAGAAGGAAGGGGGCTCCAAAGCTGAAAGAGGAAACCCCAAGTGCCACAGATACCAGCCAGTAGGCTGGAGAAGGCAGTGTTTGATTTGCATAGAGCTCAGGGGATTGGTTTGACCAGGCATGTCATTCATGGAGCCCGTGGAAAACGTTGGCCCTCCCACCCCAGCGTTTTAATATGCAAATGCAGGGTGCCATGATATTCTACACACGTGGGGATATGTGGAGGCGGCCACATTGCCCAGAATATGTGGGGCAGGGGCAAGGGCCAGAAGGCCGAGGGAATGCCATGTTTGGGTGGACCCAGTTTCTAATGGCCTGCATTTGCATATCAAAGATTGCTGGCCTGGCTCTAAGAGCTGTTTTAAAAATGAAAACTTTTCAAGGACCCGTTTTCCTCTCCATCTGCCTGAAATAATTACTTAATAACTCCTACAGCACCACTAGGCATGGAAATAATTTGGAGGTGGAGACATTGGCAAATTCGTATACATTCAGTTAACTTCCCTTCCTTGTAGATATGAGAAAACTGACCCTTGAAAAATGAAGAAAGAAAAGTGACTTTCTAAGATTGAACAGCCAAACGATGAGAGTCCAATCCCTTTGGACCTGTTTTCTCACCTGTAAAATAGGTGGGACCATATCCTAGGAACATCCTGTCTTTGGCAAACAGTACAAAAGGAGAATTTGATAAACAAACACATTTATCTTCATGAATACCCAATCCTACTGGTATTTACACTCTGGACATATACTTCAGTCTGGGGAGAAGAGAAGGACACTGTAGAGATACTCAATCTAACAGGAAAGAGAAGTAAAAGTCTTATAACTTGTATGAGTTAATTTTTATCAAGAGTGAAGAAATGATTTATGTCGGGAGAGGTGGGAGTTTGGTGGGGAGTGAGGATATTGCAGCCACGAGAAGCTTGCTCTTGGATATATGCTGTTCTGATTGGAAATTGTATTTTATCCATGTAGTAGCCATCCCTAGTAACTGCTTACCTACTTTAGGACTTTTAGTGAACAGAACCTGATTAAAATATACCCTCCTATATAGCCTCATATTATCTTTATAATAAATTGCCATTGAAAACTACTCAGAAGATAGTTAATGTATTTTTAAAAATACATTTTAAAAACATTTTAAAAAACATTTAAAAAAACATTTTAAAAAAGTATTTGGGAATCTGGATGAAGTTTTAGTTTTAAATGTAATATCTTCTGAGAAAAGATAACTGATTCTTGGTCATCGTTTCAGTGATCTGAAAGAATCAATGCTCTTGTATTCAGCCAACAGGAGGCAAATTGTGAATCCAAATCATAGACTATAAAAACAAGCAAGGACCTTAAAAAGTATCCAGGCTCAAACCCCTGCTTTTAATGATAGGAAAGTAGGCTCAGAGAAGAGCATAATATGCAGGAATAATTTCACGGATTGCTGTTGTTTGCTTCTTTTTCATTTATTAACCTATTGAATACTTGCTGTGTCTCAGCATTGTTGGCTGACAGAGATATAATCATAAACAAAACCCCAGAATAGCACAAAAGCATGTTCGCAATGCCTTCCTGACTTCTTCCAGGCTTATATTCCCCTCTTCCCCAGGCTCTCAGCCTCACCGAAAACCTCAGACACATCCTGTTCTTTCCAACCTCTCTTTCTTTGTTCATGTTGCTGGTCCTTTCGTAATAGTTGATTACAATCGTTAATACAAGTACATGGTAGAAAAATCCCAGAGGTATAAAAGGACAAATAAAATGAAAATCACATCTCTGTTTTGTCTGTGTTTCCCAGTCACTCAATTCCTCTTCCCAGAGATAACCACTGTTTCTAATTATGTATTGTCATGGAGTTAGTTAATGGATACGTAAATATATATGCATGTATAATTGGTAGTCATTTTCTGTCACCAAATGTTAACACGTTCTGCATGTTGTTCAGTACCTTATATTTTTGAGCTTAAATGTGTGTGTTTTCTTCTAAATTTGATAGTAAATTTTTTAGATTAATAAGGTCTCTCTTCACCTGGGCTTTGGTATACTAAGATGATCTTTAACTTAACCTGGGTCGTCTCTTAAATTATATTCTTTATATTATATATAAATTATATTCTTTAATTCAATTTAATTCAGTTACTTTAATTCTTTAATTCAATTACTAATTCAGTATATTCAATTAATTCATCTTGTCATTCAAAGTCTTCAGAGCCTGTTTACCTGCAATCTGTAACCTGATTTCATGCCACTGTCTAACTCACACCTTCATATCACTCAGCCCATTTCCTTATTTCCCCTTGAACGCCGATGCATATTCCTGCTTCTGAGACTCCGCTAGTTGTGTTTCTCACAGCATTCCCTTCTCTCTGATTACAACATTCTTTGAGACTTAATCCTCACCTCCTCCATGAAGCCTTCACAGCTGTTCCCACCCACATTTGTCTCTTCCTCTTTCATATTCCTGTTCCATTTTGATATAATCACATACTATCCTTTATTTCAGCTCAGTGGGACTCAGTCATTACTCAGAGTGTTATAAACTATATTTTCCTGGCAAGTTAATGTTTACAGAAATCACGTAGCCTCTTTGGACCTGTTTTCTCCCCTATAAAATGAGAAAAGCAGTATGATGCAGAGCAAGTTCATGGAATTTGGAGTCTGCTAGACTGGGGTTGTATTCCAAAGTTTGCATCATATTCTATCCCTTAGGCCTATTAGAAAATTGCTCTAAACTCTGTTTTTTAAAATCTTCCAAATGTAAATAACTCCTTCTTCATAGCATTGTTGGAGGATCTAATAGAATAATTGATGAGAAGCTCTTGACATACAATAAATGCCACTTTTTGCATGTATAGCATTTAGTCAAGTGATGCCAATGTGGATGTCACCAATAAATATTTTACTGAGTATTGGCTATGTGTGCGAGACTTCGTATTGGGCACTAAGGTATGAAGATTTACATGCTTAGTACCAGGACCTGGCACATGGAAGGTACCCAGAAAATGTTGATTCAACTCCCGGATGAGAAAAAGTCCCCCAAATGCAGAATCCAATATGTTAGAACATGGATATGTGCATTTGTTTTTTTAAAAAGTCTATAAAATTAAAAACTTCTAAATTTATCACTAAGGATTGCTTTAAAGTTTAACATTATATTTTGAGGAAATTATGAGCCTCAATATAGAAATACAAAGTATTCAAAATATGTAAATAATAATTGTTCTTATGTAGATGTAAATTAATCTCTAAGGTTTTTAGGACAAGTTACATAAGAGTCCAAAACAATTGCCAAGGCCCTGAATAGGGAGTTTGGTTCCTATATTCAAAGAACATCAAAAAAACTAGTGTCGCTGGGGCAAGTTAAGTGAGAGATAAAATGAAATTAAAGGTGATTGTGGCCCTGTCTCCCAGTTTCTACAGGAATTAGGAGTGTGACTTCAGGAATGGCTTATTCCAAGTTGTAAAACTATCCCCTGTCGTGAAGGTAGGATAAAGTTTACTTTTTCTTTGGGTAAGGCCAATTAGCAAACACAGGTGGCCAATGATCCTCTCCTGACACAGCTTTTAAACACTTTCCAGCTTTTCGTCTCAGAAAAGTTGAACTCCAGGCCTTTCTCCTCTAGTTCAATAGCCTTGAATAAAGTCTTTCTTACCTGTATAACTTTATATAGTGTCATTTTTTCTTTGACACAATGATAATGGTAAGAAGTGGTGGGATCACTGGATATATTTTGAAGACAGGATTTTCTGATAAATTAGATGTAGACTGTGAGAAAAATAGAAGACTCAAGAATTATGTCAGGCCAGGTGCAGTGGCTCATGCCTGTAATCCCAGCACTTTGGGAGGCTGAGGTGGGCAGATCACTTGAGGCCAGGAGTTCAAGACCAGCCTGGCCAACATGGCAAAACCTCATCTCTACTAAAAATATAAAAAATTAGCCAGTTGCAGTGGCATGCACCTGTAGTCCCAACTACTTGGGAGGCTGAAGTGAGAGAATTACCTGAGCTCAGGACTGAGTGGAGATCACACCACTGCACTCAAGCCTGGGCAATGGAGTAAGACCCTGTCTCAAAAGAAAAAAAAAAAAGGAATTCTGTCAAAGGAGTCCGTGAACAAATGGATAAATAGAGTTGTCATTGACTGAGATGGAGAACACTATGGTTATGGCATATGGGGGCGGTGAGTTGGGAAATTCAGTTTTGAATATGTGAGTTTGAGATGTCTTTTAGACTATACGGTAGGCTTTTAAATATTGAATGTAAGAATTTGGAGTTAAGAAGACCTGTCAGAACTAAAGATATAATTGTGGGTGTTGTTACAGTTTGAATGTTCGTCCCCTCCAAACTCATGTTGAAATTTAATTCCCTATGTGGCAATATTGAGAGGTGGGACTTTTAAGAGGTAGTTGGGTCATGAGGACAGAGCCCTCCCAAATAAATGAATCTATTCATGAATTAATAGATTAATGAGTTAATGAATTAATAGATTAATGAGTTATCACAAGATTGGGACTGGTGGCTTTATAAGCAGAGAGAGGAGAGACCTGAGTTAGCACACTTGGTCCCCTCACCATGTGATGCTCTCCACTGCCTTGGGACTGTGCAGAGTCCCCACCAGCAAGAAGGCTCTCACCAGATATGGGCTCTCAACCCTGAGCTTCTCAGTCTCCATAACTGATAAAAATAAATTGTTTCATTCATATATATATATATATATATATATATATATTTCTTCATATATATATATATACACACACACTATATATATGAAGCAATTTATATATATATACACACACGTGTGTGTGTGTGTGTGTGTGTGTGTATAAATTGCCCAGTGTCAGTTATTCTATTATAACCACCAGAAAACAGACTAGGACAGGAGTCTTCAAAATACAAAGCATGTATCAAACCAATGCCTGGATATAAAGATTGTGGCTAGAGAGGAGAAGACTAAAGATTGAACCCTGAGCCACTACATCAGTTAGTGAGATAAGAGAACTTCCAAAGAGACTGAGAATGCATGGCTCCGGGTCAGAAAATCCAAGAGTGCTGCTTTGGAAGCCAACAGAAGAAAGGATCTTCAGGAGAAGGGAATGATCCTCTCAGTCAAATGCTGTTGATAAAGTTAAATGTGAGCCTAGAGTTGGTCACAGGATTCAGCAACTTGGAGGTCACGGGTGATCCTAACTAGTACCATTTCACTGGAGTGATGGGAACAAAAACTGGACTGGAGTAAGTGAAGAAGAGTAGGAGGTGGGACTTGGAGAAACTGAGTCTGGTAAGGAGTTTTTGATGCAAAATTGAATAGAGAGATGTGTCAGTAACTAGAGAGAGAAGAGGGGTAAGGTTTTGTTTTAGGTTTGATTGTATGTTAGGGATGACAGAAATAAAAGCACAGTTGAACTGATGGGAAGGATACAGTAGAGAAGAATGTTTTGATGTTTTGATGGCATAGGAGAAAGACAGAGGGGAGAACTGTTAGAGTGAGGCATGATGTCCCTGAGTAGGGGAGATGAAAGTAAATCCAGGGTCTAGTGTACCAGATAAGGAATTAGCCAAGTGATGAGATGCATCATATTTCCACCAGGAGAGGAGGTAGACATTTCACTTCAATAGCCAAAAGGAAGGCAAAATATATGGGCACAAAAGCTGGCATGGATGGGGGATGTGGTAAAGGAGGTTTATGAAAATTCTCGTCTGATTGCTTTTAAATTATATTTTTTGGCTTTGAAAAATCCACGGAACTTTAATATCTGTTATGAAGGAGTAATAGGGAGATTTTCATCTATAATATGAGTTGTAGAACACTTTGAAAAATGAAGCCTGTCTCCAAAGATAATTAAGTATTCCCTTAATTTTAATGACACGTCTGTGACTCATTAGTGGATCTCTCTTTTCCTTTCAAGGCAATAATAAAATAACAGTCATACAATTTAAGTATTATTTTCTAACATTTCTATTTATTACTTTTATTCTGTTTGAATTTTTACTGTTACTCTTTCCACTGCAGTGACAAAAAAGAGGTTATTCTTACCTTATCTATATACAGCTACATTTTGACATTTGGATTTTTAATCTACCAACATCTAGCCCAAGGCATCACATCCTTTCAATTTATCTGAAGAATGTTACTGTTGTATTTTTGAAAGAGAAGAAATATAATGTCTAATAATAAAACTAATAGCAACAATAAGAATAATCAGCATTAATTAACTGTTTATATACTGCTAAATGTTTTACACTTCACACAGATTACATCTTTTAATTCTCACAAAAAACTATGAGTTAGGAACTATTATAACAATCGTTATAAATAAAGTTTCGGTGCCGCAAAAGAAATAGCACTTGAATATAAAATTTTCTTTGTAATTCTCAGCAAGTCAAGTTATTTCTATAGATGGGTACTCCCTTACAGAGGGAGCAATGGTGAGCCCACTTGGACAAGGGCAGGGAAGGGGTTCTTAACCCTGACGCGCGTGGCCCCTGCTGCTCTGTCCTTCCCCTATTGGCTAGGGTTAGACTGCACAGGCTAAACTCATTCCAATTGGCTGATTTAAAGAGAGTGACAGGGTCAGGATAAGTGGTTTGGCGGGAAAAATGGTTATGCAGGGTGGAGAATGAGTTAGGGAGGAGCAGGTAGCAGGTAATCAGAATGAGTCAGGGTGGAGCAGGTGATTGAAATGAGTCAGGGTGGAGCAGGTAATCGAGAAAGGTTGCTTTATGAGGAAGTAAAGTTTAAAAGTAGAAGTCAAAGAATTGAACATACTGACATATTGATTCTTTGAAAAGAAATTTAGAACTCATATCTACCACACCCATTATTTATATTATGCATTTGAAGTTTTAAAAGGTTAAATAACTTGTCTATGTTTACACTGACTAAGTTACAGAGCTGGAATTTGAAAGCAAATTGACTACTCTTTACAACACCAGATTATCCCAGAAGGTTGTACGAGAAAAACCCTACCCTTTCAAATGGTAAAATGTAGGTGAATTCATCATGGCAATGGTGTTAGCAGCAGTGCGTGGTGTGTGTTAAGTTAGTGTGTATGTGCACACATATAATTGTTAAATGTGGACACTCATGCTTATATGTAGGTTTCTATTTATTTAGAAGTATACATCCAGTGGTTTAGAAAGCATTCCTTATTTTTTTGTTTTATATTCAAACCTACTTATGTTTCATTAATTCTTAACCTACTTAACAACTGGTTCTCAGAACGTTTAGCGGGCATTATTCAGGCATCTATTTTAGCTGATAGAAGAAATCATATTCATAGATTCCTAGGGTTCAACCAATAAGAGAGAGAGAGAAATAGAGTTTGAAACAGAGGGTCGAGGAGGAGTGGCTCAGGAGTTAGTGGGGCCTGGAAATCTGAAATTCATGGTGCAATCTGACAATTTGGAAACTTAGGCAAGGGTAGATGTTGCATTCCTGAGGCAGAATTCCTTCTTCTGGAAACCTCAGTTTTCA
This sequence comes from Homo sapiens, assembly GCF_000001405.40. Lineage (NCBI taxonomy): Eukaryota > Metazoa > Chordata > Mammalia > Primates > Hominidae > Homo > Homo sapiens. The sequence continues at coordinate 155,313,067 of NC_000004.12, forward strand.
CTCTTAACGCCTCCAACTGATTGGTAGATGTACACCCATATTATCAAGGATAATCTTCTTCACTTAAAATCAATTGATTGTAAATGTTAATTACATCTATAAAATACTTTTACAGCAACCTCTGGGCTGGTGTTTGACCAAACAATTGGTCACCATGCTGTCTTAGTCCATTTGGGCTGCTAAACAAAATACCATAAACTGAGGTGCTTAAAAAACGATAGAAATTTCTTCCTCTCACTTCTAGAGTATTGGAAGTCCAATATCAGCTCTGGCAAATTAGACGTCTAGTGAGGGCCCACTTTCTGCTTCATGGATGGCAGTTTTCTCCCTGAATATGGTGGAAGGGGTTGAGAGGTCTCTGGTGCCTCTTTCATAAGAGCACTAATTCCATTCATGAGGGCTCCACCCACATGGCCTAATCAGCTCTCAAAGACCCCACCTTCTAATATCATCACATTAGGGATTTGGTTTCAACATATGAATTTTGGGTGAGCACACACATTCAGTCTATAACAATAGCCTAGTGAAGGTGGCATATAAAATTAACTACCACAGTAAATATTCCTTGTGATAAGATAAATAATTCCTAGATTACTGCAGAAAATATAATACTGAGTATTACATACATGTTGAGAGGTGTTCCTGAGCACTGCTGCATGTTTGGATGCTTGTTCATGGCAACAGTAACTTCTCAGGTATTTTGCTTAATAAGCTTTTATGTCTGACATGCAGAGAAAAACATAGTCTATGTTTGCAGTAGCAATTATAGTAGAGACTGCTCTCCGTGGACCAAAACTTGTGCTTCTCCTTTCATGTTATAGAGCTGTCAGCTGGATGCAGCTGCCTAGCCAGGGACTACCTGTCCCAGATCCCTATTCCTTACCTTCAGGCGGGGCAATGTGACTAATTCTCACAAATAAAATTTGAGCAGAAGAAATGTTAGTTTCAGGCTGATATGGTTTGGTTCTGTGTCCCCACCCAACTCTCACCTTGAATTGTAACAATCCCCATGTATCATGGGAGGGACCAGTTGGAAGGTAATTGAATCATGGGGGAGGTTTTTCCCGTAAGTTGGTCTCCTGATGGTAAATAAGTCTCATGAGATCTGAAGGTTTTATAAGGGGCAGTTCCACTGCACATGCCTTCTTGCAGGGGCAAGGCAACCCTTTGCCCTTCCTTCATCTTCTGCCATGATTGTGAGGCCGCCCCAGCCATGTGAAACTGTGAGTCCTTTAAACCTCTTTCCTTTATTTATTTCCTTAAATTACCCAGTCTCACGTATGTCTTTATTAGCAATGTGAGAATAGACTAATACAGTAAATTGGTATCAGGTAGTTGGGCATTGCTGTGAAGATACCCGAAAATGTGGAAGTGATTTTAGAACAAAGTAACAGGCAGAAGTTGGAACATTTTGGAGGGCTCAGAAGAAGATAGGAAAATGTGGGAAAGTTTGAAATCTGCTAAAGAGTTGAAAGGCTCAGAAGACAGGAAGATGTGGGAAAGTTTGGAACTTCCTAGAGACTTGTTGAATGGCTTTGACCAAAATGCTGATAGTGATATGGACAATAAGATCAAGGCTGAGGTGGTCTCAGATGGAGACAAGGAAATTGTTGGGAACTGGAGGAGTAAAGATCACTCTTGCTATACTTAAAGACTGGTGGCATTTTGCCCCTGTCCTAGAAATATGTGGAACTTTGAACTTGAGAGAGATGATTTAGGGTATCTGGTGGAAGAAATTTCTGAGTGATAAACTGTTCAAGAGGAAGAAGAGCGTAAAAGTTTAGAAAATTTTCAGCCTGATGATGCAATAAAAAACAAAAGCCCATTTTCTGGGGAGAAATTCAAGCCTGATGTAGAAATTTGCGTAACTAACAAGGAGCCCAATGTTAACCACTAAGGCCATGGGGAAAATGTCTCTAGGGCATGTCAGAGACCTTTGCAGCAGTCCCTCTCATCATAGGCATGGAGACCTAGGAGGAAAAAATGGCTTCACGGGCTGGGCCCAGGCCCCTCCTGCTGTGTGCTACCTAGGGACTTGGTGGCATGTGTCCCAGCTGTTCCAGCTGTGGCTAAAAGGAGCCAAGGTACAGCTCAGGCTGTGGCTCCAGAGGGTGCAAGCCACAAGCCTTGGCAGCTTTCATGTGGTGTTGATCCTGCAGGTGCACAGAAGTCAAGAATTGAGGTTTGAGAACTTCCTCCTAGATTTCAGAGGATGTGTGGAAATGCCTGGATGTCCAGGCAGAAGTTTGCTGCAAGGGCAGGGCCCTCATGGAGAACCTCTGCTAGGGCAGTGCAGAGGGAAATGTGGAGTTGGAGGACCCACAGAATCCCTACAGGGGCACTGCCTAGTGGAGCTGTGAGAAGAGGACCACCATTTTCCAGACCCTAGAATGGTAGATCCACCAATATCTTGCACTGTGCACCTGGAAAATTTGCAGACACTCAATGCCAGTCCATGAAAGCAGCCAGGAGCGGGACAGTACCCTGCAAAGCCACAGGAGTGGAGCTGCCCAAGGACATGGGAGCCCACCTCTTGCATCAGTGTGACCTAGATATGAGACATGGAGTCAACTGAGATCATTTTGGAGCTTTAAGATTTGACTGCCTTGTTGGATCTTAGACTTGCATAGGACCTGTTGGCCCCTTTGTTTTGGCCAATTTCTCCCATTTTGAATGGCTGTATCTACCCAGTGCTTGTACTCCCATGGTATCTAGGAAGTAACTAACTTGCATTTGATTTTACAGGCTCATAGGCAGAAGGGACTTGCCTTGTCTCAGATGAGACTTTGGACTGTGGACTTTTGGGTTGATGCTGAATGAGTTAAAACTTTGGGGGACTGTTGGAAGGCATGATTGGTTTTTAAAAGGATGTGAGATTTGGGAGGGGCCGGGGCAGAATTATATGGTTTGGTTCTGTGTTCCCACCCAAATCTTACCTTGAATTGTAATAATCCCCACATGTCATGGGAGGGACCTGGTGGGAGATAATTGAATCCCATGCCATTTTTGTGATAGTGAATAAGTCTCACAGATCTGATGGTTTTATAAAGGGCAGTTCCCCTGCACATGCTCTCTTTACTGCTACCATGAAATACATCCCTTTTCTCTTTCTTAATCTTCCACCATGATTATGAGGCTTCCCCAGCCATGTGGAACTGTGAGTCCATTAAACCTCTTTCCTTTATAAATTACCTAGTCTTGGGTATGTCTTTATTAGCAGTGTGAGAACAAACTAATACACAGGCTAATCCTGTAAAGGAGAAGGTTGTCTTTCTCCACACATTTTTTCCATCTACTGAATGGAGAAGACTCTGAGATGCTAAGAAACAGTGGAAAGACAGGGTGGAAGGACCTAGGTTGCTGAAGCACCTCGTGGAATAAAGTCACTGCCAACAGAGCTGCCTCCATTGAGCACCTGCATGAATAAGATGTGCTGTTGTATTATGTTAGCAGCTCTGTGTCATTAGACACTTGCATGAACAAGGACAATTATTTCATCATGTTAATCTATTAAACTCTTGGAGTAAGATTATATTAACCTGAACCAAGACAAAACTGGGAGTACACATTTGGACCTTCACATCAGTAAACTGGTTCTTTAGGAAGGGGTCTTTCCTAGTGACTAACCTCATAGCTGCTTTCTGGTTTTTGTTTTGTTTTGTTTTTCAGTGATGCTAGAATGTAAGCTGCATGTGAGCAGGAATTTTTGTCTGTTTTGCCATTGATGTATCTGAAGCAACTAGAAGAAATACCTGGCATAAGGTAGCATTCAGCAATTAGTTGCTGAATAAGCAAATGAGCAAAAAGAAAATATTATCTTCTAACTAGTGATTGGACTGTCATCATGCATAAATTGAAAAAATGCAATGTAAAACTATGAAATAGATTTTTATATAACTGTGTTTCTCTATCTCCATAAATAGAATGTTACAAAGTTTTATGTTATTAATGGTAACAAAATAATTTCTGAAATTTTATGGCATAGTTTTCAGAGTTTTTTGAAAACTACTTGGCAGCTCTAAAAACTGCAAGAGTGTCACATAAATGATAATGCAAAGGGTTAATAAGGAAGAGGTAGCGTTGATCCCATAAGGCATGGAAGATTGTGTGGGCCTTCAGATCAAAAGGGAGATGTGTATATATGTGTAAGAATATCACTGTGTCATAAGAGATTAATTGTTTGGTTTAAGTTACATCTCAAAAAGTAATACACTGCATGAAGTGGATAAAGAACTGAAGATTTAACCCTGGGGAACAGTTGTGGCTGTAATTCCATGACTTTTACTTTCTTCTATAATAAAGTTTAAGGAGAGTCTGAAAATTTAGGATAAATGAGAAATAAGCTTAGTACAAGCAGTGGGTGGGGGGCTCTAAAAGGTAATTCTCTGGGCATCATCATCTTGGCTGAAATGGGCATCTGGCATCTACTTGGTCTGGATATTAACTTATGTAAATCTCTGGGAGCTTCATTTCCTTGGGTAAAGGAAATGAAATAAAAAACTAAAAATGAGTGAAACTACACAAATGAATGAAACCACGTGTAATTTACTATACTATAGGTTGAAGAGGAAAATATATACAAAATTCATGACTACCATACAGTATCTTTTTGGTATTAATGTCCGACTTTCCCTCTTCACTCCTTGCCCCTCTCTCCCCAAACACACATGTATAGAGAATCACTAGAAATGAGTGATAGATCCTGAGCTAAATTTGTCTACAGGACATTTCTGCCATGGTCAAGTTTGTATCTTATTAGGCTTTCACCATTTTGTTCACAAATTCCATTTTATGGAGTCTCAAAATATAACATTTCATATCCCTAGCACAGAATCAGTGGCAGAAATTTTCCATATTTCCATTCACAGCTCGTATGTTATATCTTCATACCTTTCTAGAACCCTTTTCACTGCTTGTCCTGCCTACATAGATTTATATAATTTGGTTCTTTAGGGGTTTCCCTCTTTTTCAATAGCCCTCTGCTATTATGGCCTCAGGGATAATTTACTTCTGTGTAAAGTCACCCATGTGCTCCTTTCTTTTTAAATGCCTAAATCTCTCTGGTCATAACTTGTATGTCTCTCTGCCACGCTTCCACAGTGGGAAGGACAGATTTCCATAATAAGGCTGAACTAAAACTGGCCTCCTAGTTGCATTCTTTCCTGATAAAAGTGTTCTTCTTTCTAATGCCATTAAATATTTCCCTTGGCTGCAACACTGTATTTTACTGTTTGAACATGCATTAAATATGCCTTCTTTCTTTCTTTCTTTTTTTTTTTGAGACGGAGTCTTGCTCTGTTGCCCAGGCTGGAGTGCAGTGACACAGTCTTGGCTCACTGCAAGCTCTGCCTCCTGGGTTCACGCCATTCTCCTGTCTCAGCCTCCCGAGTAGCTGGGACTACAGGTGCCCACCACCACGCCTGGCTAATTTTTGTATTTTTTAGTACAGACGAGGCTTCACCTTGTTAGCCAGGGTGGTCTCGATCTCCTGACCTCCTGATCCACCTGCCTTGTCCTCCCAAAGTGCTGGGATTACAGGCGTGAGCCACCGTGCCTGGCCCCTTCTGTCTTTATTATAGGAGATATTATTATTTCCGTGATAGTTCAGGAACCAAGTCTCAGAGGAATATAGGGGTGGGTTAGACTGGGTGTTGCTCACTCTTGTGATGAGTTCCAGACAGATGACCCTGTAAAAAGCATTACTGGACCACCCAGAAGGCACAGCCTAAGAAGGCCATCCTTCTGGGAATGTTGCCACACCTTTCAATGAGCTACAGAGCTAACCCATGGTAACAATTGGTATGGAGGCACACTGTCTTATTCTACCTGAGAAACAGGCATAATAAAACTGTAGAATTCCACTTAGCCTGTTGTATCACATACTATTTAGTTTTTTTCCTGAAGCCTACCTACCTTCTCCCTCTCAATTTTTGGATTTTTTTATCAGCTACTCTGTCCTTTTCATTTTTCCTGGACTTTCTCTATTCCTCATTTTTGTTTTTATGAAAGCATGGCCTTTTAAAATGCCCACATATAACACTCTTAAGTTCACCAGATAAAACAATAACAATAATTACAAAAGGTTTCACTTATTGCGAATGCTTTATGTATATTAATACACTGTATAATCTTTGTAGCAAATTCATGATATTAGATTGCTTTTCTTTTTCCCCATTTTACTGAGCTAAACTGAAAATTAGAGAATTAGCAAGTTGTTCAAAGCCACATAGCTAATAAAAGGCAGGATTCAAAGCTTGGTCCAATTGACTCGAGAAGACATGATTTATGGATCCAATAAATAACGAGTGAGTGCATTGGTGATAGAGACACAACAATGACAAAACAGGCTGATCACTCACCTCACAGAGCTTACATTCCTCTGGAGTGTCAAAGAAACATTACACCAGACATATTAAGCAGGGAAGGAAGACTTTATTCAAGACTATTGCAATAGAAGAGAGAGAGAGAGAAAGAGAGAGAGAAAATGAACTCAACTCCCGTAACACAGAACCCTGGAGTGTTTTTCTTATGGGGATGAACAAGTAGAAAAGTATTGGAGGAACTTAAGGTGTCTATGTGGTCAGATCATTTGTGTTGCTAATTTGGCACTTATGGAAGTTAAGCTTCTACCTTACCCCAGAGACTGGAAGATAGGGATGCAATTTTTCTTGATGATTGCACTGCAAAGGAATGAATCCCAGGTACTTAAGAAAGACATTCCTGGATTGTCAAACTGATAAAAGGCTGGGAGAAGATTTACATTTCAAAAGGGCAGAGAAAGAATTTACAACAGCAAATTTTCTACTGTAAATGCTTGAAGAAAAGGAAGATGGGACATCAACAGTCAAGAAGAAATCTGTCTAAAGTTTAGTCAAGCTAAAGAAATCATTAAGATCATCTTGGTCAGGAGAGAGACAAAAATATGTAGTGAATGTCCTATCAAGCAGGATACAGATGTTGCGGTGGGGGAGTTTCTATTTTATGTGGTTATGTGACTTTGTCCTAGTTTCTATCTAGAATAGAGGTTTTAAGCTCCCAGTTCCTGATTTATGGAGAAGCTAGTTGATATTAAGGGGAAATATTTCCTGAAGACAAAAACATTACTACTGACTTGGTCTTTACTAGAATACACACTGCCAGATTGGTTCTCCTGATTTATCCCCTGATCCCAGGGCTTTTCAGCCATTATATTCAATGCACATTATTTTCGGACCATTAGCATAAGCAAATAGGCTACTATTGACCACCCTGACCGTCTTCTCCCACCCCAAGTTTCTATACCATCTAACCCAAGACCTTGTTATAACCGTCTCTTAGATAACATGGCTATCTTCTCGTTCTCCTTAAAGAAAACATCCCAAGGCACTTCAGCTCCCTCCTACCCCTTCCAAATCTGGCATATTTGCCTAATAAGCCTAAATATACAGTGTTCATGTATTCCATTTTCTGGATAATAGCATTATTTATGCAATCTCTAAAAGACAGAAAAGACACTTCAGCACTTTAAAAAGTAATGTCCCCACTTGGGTAATCAAGCAGACTTTTTAGGAGCCCTCTCACTGGCTAAATCCGGAAGAGCAACTGCCTAATAGCAAATGTAATCTCCAGCAGGGCACCTCTATGCCATTATACTATTCTTATTATCCTTTTTTTGTCAAAAAAATTTTACAAAGCTACATTTCAAACATAAGAAGACTGAGGCTTAAAGATTTTTATTCAAGCCACGTAGCTATTAAGCAGGAGAACTGAGATGTAAACCCAGGTTATTTTAATTCCAAAGATGTGTTCTTTGAAATTTTTGTTTCCATTATTACATGCTACTACCAATCAAGTTTTATTTTTGGGGATAGGGGAATAAAACCTAAATATTATGACTTTTATTTGTTCATGGAAAACATAGGCATTTTTAATGATATCGCAATGAAACATAAGAAATATTATTCTGGTCTAATGTAGGGTTTCTCATGGGGTTCAATAATTATTACTGAGTTCTCTATTCAAATGTTCTTTTCATAATAGATCACTTGGGAAAAGGCTAAATGATATCAATTAGTCATTTTTATTTCAACATTAGGAGGAACTATTTTACCAGCTTATTCTTTTCCTTTGTGGCTTTATAGGCTCCATCCATCTTGTTCTCTTTAGAGATAAGAATATTGCAGAAAATGGAGAGTACCACAGGGCAAATTTCAATTACTCTGTGGAATATTAGCTATTTTACCTTGTTTGCTTAAGAGGTTTTTTTTCTGATTAAAGAATTATAATTTAAAAGGCAGAAGTAACTGTTCCTTTCATATTACTTCACAGTTCATCTCTCTTCTCTCTGGGGCTGACTTATGCCCACAAGGCTGATTCTAATTCCTTTTTTTTTTTTTTTTTTTAAGACAGAGTTTCTCTCTTGACACCTAGGCTGGAATGCAATGGCGCAATCTCAGCTGACTGCAACCTCCACCTCCGAGGTTCAAGCAATTCTCCTGCCTCAGCCTCCTGAGTAACTGGGATTACAGGCGCCCGCCACCACACCTGGCTAATTTTTGTATTTTTAGTGGAGATGGGGTTTCACCAAGTTGGCCAGGCTGGTCTCAAACTCCTGAGCTCAAGTGATCCACCCGCCTAGGCTTCCCAAAGTGCTGGAACTATAAGCGTGAGCCACCTTGCCCAGCTGGCAGTTTCTAATTCTTTTCTTGGGGAATAATAGTTGGTGTATCCCTTTGAAAAACTGGTCATGCATCATTGTACTTCTGTCTCCCACCTTTTTACCCTAGAATTTATTCTGAATATTTCAGAAAATTCAGACTACATCTTCTATAGAGGAATGGGGTTTGAAAAATGAAAACCCAGGCACTTGTATAGACATAGGAACATCCAAGATGTACTCATGGAGATAGTGCTGTGGCTGCTATATTTCGGATGCTCTGTTCTGCTGCAGCTATGAGCCTACTGAGGCTTTGAGCCTTACTTGTCATTGGCTTATCCCTGCTCGAATGGGAGTAGAAAGATGTGAGATCCTTAGGGCACCTCAGTGTAGCCCTGCTACACAAGATTCTCCATTATGGCACCAGTTAGAGGGAAAGTGTGAAACTCTCTAACTCAGGAGATATTTAACGATCAGTATCAGTGCTGTGTATTTGAGAGGGTGGCCTCTGGGTTCTTTCAGGAATGGTTGGTTGACATGATTGAATCACACAATTTCACAAGGAGATGGACCGTAAAAGGCTACACAGTACAATCATTGTCAAACTCCAGAACTACTAAAAAAGTCACTCAGGGATGAGAGTTAAACATTCAAATTCCTATATCATATCCTGATAACAATAAGTTTCCCTGGGTGTCTCCAGAGTCTGTCTGGTCATAAACTTCTTAAGTATTTCTTAGTTAGCTCTGAAACTCAAAAAGTATTTGACTAAATGGTGAAATGGTGCAATGTACCTTTAAAAATTTGAAAATGACAACAAATAATTCCTGAATGATTTTATTAATAATAGTCTGCTAAAACCTAACCAGATGTTAACTTCTATAGATTAAAAACTTATTCTGTTTTCTCCTGAATGGATGGATTCCTACCTGATTTGATTTTTCCTTGCACAGACATTCTGTGGCTGTGTCCCTCGTGGGAGGACATGAAAAGATGGCCATTCTAGAGAACAGATTCTGTTGTGGTGAAGGGTACCTTTGCTCCTCTGACTGGATGCAGATATCACAGTCTGTAGGAGGCAAGGAAAGCTCTGCTTTTAGCCTCACTATCCTCTCACCCTTCAAATTCTTGACAGAGTGCATCTGAAAAGTAAAATAATTGTTTCCCTCATGACTGCAGCACAGATGAAATGAAAAAGACTGGCCTTTCCCCGACTCCTGAGTAATTAATTTAGTCTAATGTGTCTGTTCTAGCATCCAAGTACTGCAGCAGTAGGCGCCAGGCATATGTGCAGATAGCTTGAGAGAGATCATGTTATTCAGATAATCTAGTTAGCCCTTGGTCCACCCAATGTTAACAGTGACTTGAAGCTCTCATTCATTATTTAGGCTAACAATATCTTACATGTTAGAGCAAATTTTAGCATTTAACACACTTTCATAAATACTGTCAGGAAGCTGGATATATGGGAGGAAGTTTGTATGACTTGTTTCATGGTCTGACAACCCAGAAAGGGTCAGAGTTGAGACTCAAATGCAAGCCTCGAGACTTCAAATCTAGTTTCCCTCTAAAGGACATGAGGGTGTATGTAATACAATTTTTTCAGTTCCTATAGTTATAGAGGAAATCAAAGCTCTGGTTCCAATAAGAGTGTTATTTGGCTCAAATCCACACCCAGATTAAATGAGACTCTAGAGTCACTCCTAACTCTTTATCAGGGCTTGGCTCCTTCTGAAAAACACTCCACTGTCTCCTTTATCCAGTTAGAGTTCTAGGGAAACTTATTTGATTAGCACTAAAACCCAGAGTCATAGTATAATATATTTCTTTTAGCAAGTCCTGCATTAAACAAATACTTGTGTATTCAGCATGTGCTATGACCTGGGTACTGTGCTGAGAACAGGGAACATAATCAGTGGGGAGCAGGGGAAAACTTGCGTGTCTTCTTTGAACTTATAGTAGATTTAGAAGAGGTAGACATATACATAGGGTATGGGCATAGAGGGCTATTTCTGAATGAGATGGATGTATAGAGATAAACAGTTGTCTGGGTGCGGTGGCTCACGCCTGTAATCCTAGCACTTTGGGAGGCTAAGGCAGGTAGATCACAAGGTCAGGAGCTCGAGACCAGCCTGGCCAATATGGTGAAACCCCATCTCTACTAAAAATACAAAAATTATCCAGGCATGGTGGCAGGTGCCTGTAGTACCAGCTACTCAGGAGGCTGAGGCAGGAAAATCACTTGAACCTGGGAGGCAGAGGTTGCGGTGAGCTGAGATCATTCCATTGCACTCCAGGCTGGTGACAGAGCAAGACTCCATCTCAAAAAAAAAAAAAAAAAAAAACCACTAGGCTAATCAATAAAGGATGAGGAGGAGTTAGGTAGGTAAATGCGGATGAGATGGAGAGAAGTTCCCAGGCAGAAGGGAGCAGCACCATGGGGAGGCCTGGACTGGGAAGCCTTGTGAGATCAGCTGTTGCTTACGTTCGAGTCACTGATGTGATGCTGCCACAAACCTCCACATCTGTGTGCATCCCCTTCCCTTTCCAAACCTAATCGCAGGCCTCTGGCTGCTGCCCTTTCTTGCCCCCCACTCTGTTCCCTGATGCAACTTACCTCTTCAACCTACCTCTGCTCCTTTATTTGCAAGCAAGGGAGACTGTATTAGGTAGAGTAATGACTCCCCAAAAGATGTCCATGCCATAATTCCCAGAAACTGTGAATATGCAAGGACATGCCAAGTAGGTAGTAAGGTTGTTTACAGAATTAAGGAAATTAATCAATTGGCTTCAATATAGAAAAGTGCCTGGATTTTCCAGGTGGAACCAATCTAATCACATGAGCTTTGGAAAGAAGAGGGAGGTGGAAGCGTGGGCCAGATGGTCAAGACACTAGAATGATTCCATACTCCAGTGTTGGCTCTGAACGTGGAGAAAGCAAGCCATGAACCAAAAAAACTGGTGTCCCATAGAAGCCAGGAATGGCCCTCAGGAACATACCAGCAACAAAATATGAACCTTGGTCCAATCCACAACGTGAATGAGCAGGAAGCAGATTCTCTCCTCAAGTTTCTGGAAAAGAATACGGCCTGCCAACATTGTGATTTTAGTCTAATGAGACACACACTGGCCTTCTGACCTACAGAACTGCAAGATAATAAATGTGTATTGTGTGAGGCTGCTCAAATTATGAGAATTTCTTACAGCAGCAATATAAAACTAATAAAAGGCTTTCTACTGGAAAATGGGAATCTTCTATCAGACCTGGGATGGCCCCAATTTCAAGGTTACAATATAGGTCACCTGAACTGCACCCCTAGGGGAGCAGTGTATACCCACAGCTCTACACGCTGCCTTGCTGCATGGAAATAACACCATAGCTTTTGCAGACATATTGAATTCAGTCTTCATCCTTCTATAAAGAATGGCCTCCAGGAATCACAAGAGATTTATTTGTGTGGTTCCAATATGTGCTTTATTCTGATCCCCTGTCCTAAAAAGTCTGGTCCTGAGTCTTGAGTAAGCTGATTTCCTTTAGTTTTCCCTCTGAGAGAAAGACCTGTTTTCCGCCTTGCTGAAGCACTTTCCCCTGGGCTTTGTGAGGGAGTTTCTGTCTCTCCATTTCAATGCTATGATGTTTATCTTCATGACTTGAAACCTAAACATACTTTCCAAAATTCTCTAACAATTTTTTTGCGTTTGGAGATAGAAGTGGGGCCAATAAAGGTGATAGTGTGGTCAGCTGGTGGGATTTTAGGGCCTCTTAAAATTTGCTACACATGATGCATGTTGGGCTCCACTGCCAACTGCCATACACCCATAGAGATGGAAAAAGAAAAAAATTTGTAAAATCAAAAGCACATTTATGTCCTTAAAATTTTAAGATGGCATTATAAAGACATCTCTGTCATTTTCTTCCTACAGAAATCAACTCACAATAACAGAAAAATCTAAAAAATAGAAAATACAAAATCCATCTATGATGAAACAAGGGGTCATCTTAGCCCTAAACAACAATATATAAGGAAAGGCTGCTAAGGAAAGATTACACTGGGGTCTAGGAAGACATAGAGCTCTCTCCATACCACTGGGGTGCATGCTACTGCAGATCTCAAACTAGCAAAACACCATCATTTTCTAATGGAAATGCATACCGAGGGAAAAAAACCTCTTTGCGTTTTGGCTTAAAGGGATTAAATAGAACAAGGTGCATATCTTACTGAGGTTATCGTTGAAGACTGAGTGTCTCTGTAGAGTAATAGGAGAGTTAGATCTAAGAGAGAAAACTGAAAATGTCATGACTGCATGTAGATGACACAAAAGTAGAAAGAAACTGAATTGTGAGCAGTTTAGACAGGCCAATCTGCTGTGAGTGCTCAGAAAAATATGCTAAGAAAAATCATGCTTATACACACAACTCCGTAACATCAGAAGTTTCACTGAGAATGAGACTAAAATCCTGCTCACTTTGCCTTCTCTGGTCCCTTTAGTACATAAATTTCCTTAAAATAACTGAACCAGGACTGACTTAGGTCATTCAAAGTGAATAATAATAAATAAGAATAATTACCACAGGTCTATATACCTTACTACTACCACTGCTAGTGGGGAAAAGAGGAAAGAAATAGAAGTGAGAAGAAATGATAGATGCAAGTATCTCCATTGAGGAAATGACAATCCATAACAATCTGAATTGTAAGTTTTCATGAAATTAACAAAAAACACAAACCAGAGATCTAAGAGGTTAAGGGAGATACAGAAAAAATACAGGAGGATGATAAACTAGTAGAGTTCCAGATAAAAGTGGTGCAAAACCATCACATAAATGAAGGTTACATTGAAACCAACAGGAGAATAGAATAGATGCCACTTAAATCCTAGTAATGACACAGAATGTAGGATTGAGAAAAGTGAGGATAGTAAAATATAGTAAGCAAGGATGAAAAGGATTAGAGAAAATATGTTAGATATAGATGGCAGACACAGAAAATGTGATGTATACATCATTGGGTCCCTCAATAAGCAATCTGATGAATTAAAGACAAAAATATCCAAATATATAATTCAAAAAACTTTCCAGAATGAAATCCAGTTAGGATCCACAGATTTTTTTAACAATGTTCTCTGCCACAGGAAAAACTGGTATAGAATGATCAAGCTGTGACATATCCAAGTATATATTACTAGGTTCAAACACTAGGAAAAGAGTCCCTTGATCATTTTTGCAAAAGGAAAAAATCACTGTCCTAATCAGCATGGGCTGCCATAATAAAGCCCCACAGACTAGGTGGCTTCATCAACAGAAAGTCCTTTTGTCACAGCTCTGGAGGCTGGAAGACCATGATCAGGATATCAGCATGGTCAGGTTCTGGTGCGGAGCAGCTTCCTGGCTTGCAGATGGCCACCATCTCATTGTGTCCTAAAATGGCAGAGAGTAAACAAGCTCTGGTCTCTTCCTCTTCTTATAAGGACGCTAACCCCATCCTGGGGATTCCACTGTCACAGCCTCATCTAAACCTTATTATTTCCCAAAGACCCCACCTCCTAATCCCATCACATTAGGGGTTAGAGTTTCAACATACAAACCTGGAGAAACATAGGCATTAAGTCCGTAACAGTTATCTATACAGCATAAAAATTGGTTCCAGTCTTATACCTCTTCATAGATACACTCACAGCACTAAAAGACAATGGACTACACTAAAGAAAGGAAAGAAACACCCTATAACTTTATATTTAGCGAAACTGTCACAAGATATAAGAGCCATAACCCTACATCTTTTTAAACATAAAAGAACTCAGGAAATATAATTGTCAACAAGATTGTTTTTATAGAAAGTACCACAGGGTAGCCTTGAGAAAACCAAGTAATGAATAAAGAAAGGAAGGGACTAGTGGTCAGTTCTGAGTTCATTTAACTCACTAAGAATTAATACTTAATTAAGCTGTGCTTAAGTACTAATTAAGCTGTGCTTAAGTATTAATTCCCCTCTGTGGTTGTAGAGGGGAATGTAAATGTTTAAAATAATGATAATGTAGTTCTAGTATAAATAATGCAAATTGGGAGAGGAAGTGAGAGATAAGGTAGAAGGTAGTGATGAAGACTGTTCTTTTCATAATAGATGAAAAATGTCACCACCAATAAAATTACACAAAATACTGAGTGGATCACATATTTACAACCTCATCACTGGCAGATGGAGTAACATAATTGAAATATTGAAGCAATTTTATTCTTACACAAACAGAGGGTCACATTTCAGGCTGACCTTCTAAAAAATATTTTATGTTGTAAGGAGCTGGATGAACCTCTGGCCGTTAGCCCATTTAAATTATTTCTGGAACCAATATAAATGAATAAAAACATTCAAATGTTTACATTTATCTCACATTTATCATGTTTTCTACTTTACCCTTATTAACACTCCAACTTTCCTCCCACCATGGAATTTGGTTAAAGATTATCCTAATTTTGAATTACTTCCAAGATTATTTTCTTAAAAAATAGTGCTTATTTTCTTTTATAGTAATTGTAATTTTGGGCAAATTTTGTCTGGCATTTACGGGTATATATTGGTATACACTGACAAAATTCATAAATGACTGCGTACCAATTTTGGATGGGATACTCAGTTATACATTTTGCTGGAATTTGTGAAATAATTTCACAAGAAGTTTTCCTTGATAAACAACACTGGAAAGGAAATTTGCAAAATTCACTGCATCATATATGTATGTATATATATATGTGTATATATATATATGTGTGTGTATATATATATGTATATATATACACACATACATACATATACCACTCTATGTTTTCTTGCAAAACTATGATCCTCTTTGGTCTATTCATTAGTGATACTGGGGTAAATTATTAAATAATGCTATGCATTAACATAGCAGCTTTCCCTACTGTGGCTAAAAACTCAATTTAAAATGATCTATCACTAGGCAAAGAGGGAAAAATCTAAACATACAATGATGCTACATTGTCTTCTGTGTTAACCTTGATTGCTTCTTGACCTGTGTGTAGGCGATATTATTAACAGTTAGAAATACTCTATTCACGACAGCTACAGGCAATGGTATCCTTGGAATGATAGATTAATAATCATAGAGTTAGCTAATTAGTTTAAATATTATTTATGTCAGAATCTAAGCTCATTTCTACTTATTCTGAGGCAAACTCTTTGAATATGAAATATGATTTCTCAGGACTCTTACAAGAAAAACATCATATATAAGATTCATATATGGAAACACAAGCTGATAAGTTAGGGAAAAATATTTTAAATTGGTTGATACATGGGAGTAGGGTGTGGAGAGGCTATTGATTGGGAAGGGACAAAAGAGAACACTCTGAGGTGATGGAACTATTCTGTGTGGTGTTAGGAGGGTACGTATTTCTCAAACAGACCGTATGAAATTCTTAATCTGAGCATTTTACTCTATGTAAGTTATACATCAATAGTAAATAATTCTTTAAAAACTCACTAAAAATTACCCCTGTAAATTCCACTTGATTTAGTTTATCAGTGAGTTTTGAAAATACAAGCAGGGATGGTAGCTTGAATTGAAAACACTATTTGAACACTAGGATTTCAAATCTGAGACTCCTAAGAATTTGATTACAAATTATTCAGTATCCATTTCACTCCTGTCAGACATGCATAAAGCTAAGATACTAACATTAACCAAACTTATTGGGCTGTCTGAAGAATAAATTAATTGAATATCTCTAAAACACTTAGCAATAGAAGCAAATCATTCTTTGTATCCTATATAGTTAAACTTGATGTGCAAAATGAAAAGTCATCACTCTCTTCGACACTTGTTATTCTCATTTATGCTATACATTACATTTATAGAGGTAAAACTATGTAAAATACATGTAAAATTGGGGACAGGTCATTGTTATTTTGCATAATTTATTTTTGGTGAGCAGAGAACCTTTTTGGTCAATTTATATAAATACTATAGTGTTTTTGTCATTATAACCAGGAGACCAATTTGTTGAATTGGACAGCTGGAAGCAAGGAAGGGAAAAAGTATTTCACCGAAAAGGCAGAAGACTGGCATCAATTGCAAGCTGTGGAATCAAGACAACTTTGGCTGAGTCCCATTTTATATAGGACTAAAGGAGAGTGCAGTCCTCAAAGGCAATAATATTTATGAGAACAAAGAAGACTGTGGAGAAATTTTAGGCAGTAGAAGAGAGCAGAAAGGCCAAGAGGATCAGGGTTGAAGTAAGCTATATAGCAAATCAGGCATTGCCCAGTTACCTGGGAATTACATTCAGGCAAAGCAGAAATACCTGAAGCTAGTTGCTTATACAACCAAATATTGAGAAGTAAAGATATTTTCATCTAGAACAATCCTAAAAATCACTCTTGTTTCTAAAAGGCCAAAGGTAGTGGGCAGGTATACAAAGAAAGGGATATTTATGAGAGAGGGCCTGACATTTAATCTATTTATGTAAGTGACATCAATACATATTGTCAAGCCTGGATATGACATAATTAATCATTAATACAACCTAATTGCAGAAGTTCTTTTTAAAAATAGAGTTATGTCTCAGAATAAAGAAAGATCCCTAGCTCCAACACTTATTGCCTCTATTTTCTTGGGCAAATTACTTCAACTCACTAAGCCTCAGTATGCTACAGTAAAATATAGATAATAATAGTACCTACTTCATAGGATGTTTGGGAGGGATAATGATAAAATGCTTGCAAAAACATTTAGCATTTAGTACTTAGAATAAAGTAAGCACCCAATAGATGTTAAAATCTGACATATACACACACACACATATATACACACATATTTACACATATTTGCATGTGTGTATATATATATACATATACACATAATATAAATATTTAGCAAAATAGAAAAATTTGACAAATATACATTAAAAACTCTACTTGTTACTTATGGAAGAGACTGGCTATCTACCACATCTGTTTCCCTTTCCTTCTGGGTCCACAGCTATCTTATGTGCCTTAAAGTAAGGTATTGCAGGTATGGAGTTCCTGCCACTGGCATGAGTAGCATGAATGTGTGCTGCTTCTAGATCTGGCAGGTGAAAACCTTCCATGAATTCCTCTACCTGTTCTGTTTCCACCCTGCCAGCTCAATGTTGGGAGTCATTTTCCAAAGAATGGCAAGGCTCTGATCATTGGAGACTCAGAAAGGTGGAGGGATGGCAGAAGGGTGAGGGATGAGAAATTACCTAATAGGCATAATGTACACTATTCAGGTGAAGATTCCACGAAAAGCCTAGACTTTACTGCATGCAATATGTTCATGTAACACAATTGCATCTGTATCCCTGTAATCTCTTAAAAAAAAAAAAAAAGAATGGCAGGGCTCAAATCTGACTGCAGGAACTGAGTGCTACCACTACCACCATCTCCACCCTTGGTTTTGTTTCCTAGAGTTTTAAGTACTTGAAAAATATACTTCTATTGCATTAAGGCCATTGAAATTTGGAACGTTGCCTATTGTAGTAACTAGAGTTACCTTGACTAATACACTGCTGAATCCAAATGGTGTATACATTATGGAACACCAGTTTCAAGTTTTTGCTGAGTGTATGAATAGAATAAGAGTGTGTCATTCAGAATTTTCTTTGGTTCCTCGTAATAGAACACCAGTTGCCAGCAGCTTTAAAACCTAGTTGTTTATTTTTATTATAAGAATGTAGGTCCAGAAATAGCAGTTGTTGCTTTATTTCAGCAGTCAATATATCTGGAATTCCCTTGCTTTTCCCTCATTATTACCATATGACTGCTGTGGTTCCTACCATCATGTCTATGTACAAGGCAAAAAGAAGGTAGAAAACCTCACTGTATCTGTCCTTTTATTAGGAAATTCAAAGCTTACTTAAACTTAGAAGACAACTCAAGTTGCACTGGCAGAATTGTGTCATCTGGTCACCAATAGCCACAGAAAAGATGCAAAGTCAGCATTTGACTGGGCACCTTATTGCTCTAGACATAACTATGGTTCTGTTATCAAAGAAGAATTGAGGAA
Source organism: Homo sapiens (assembly GCF_000001405.40). Lineage (NCBI taxonomy): Eukaryota > Metazoa > Chordata > Mammalia > Primates > Hominidae > Homo > Homo sapiens. The sequence goes on from NC_000004.12 coordinate 155,331,746, forward strand.
TGGCTATTGGCTAAGTAACTGACAATGTCTGTAACTTATAGTGGTAACAATGAACTCTAACCTGACTGATTTTTAGTTCAGGCTATTTGTCTATACAGCTGATATCAAAAAACCCAGAAAAGGTCAGAAGGGACTGTGTTTTTACTAAATTCCAAAAGTTAACAGAAATAATTATAGCTCTGAAAAGGCTATAGGTTGTCACATGCTTATAACTTCTGCTTCCACATGGAAAGCCACTTGACATCTGAAAACCCTGCTCTCTGTTCACGGGCTTTCTTTGTTTTTGTTCACCACATGATGAGACAGAGACATAAAAACATTTTATCTGTTAACTTTTAAAATAACTTGAAAGGAAAAGGGAAAGTATATTTGAAATTATTTGGGTTAAATCCTTAAAGTCTCTAATATACTATATATTTAATCACGTTTTAATGTTTTCATTTTCTTTTTCAACTTTTCTTTTAGGTACAGTGGGTACATGTGCAGGTTTGTTGCATGGGTAAATTGCAACAAACCTGCACATAGGGTTTGGTGTATGAATTATCCCATCACCCAAGTCTTGAGCTTAGTACTTGATAGGTAGTTTTTCAAACCACATCTTCTTCTCTCCATTCTCCTCTAGAAGTCCCCGGTGTCTATTGTTGTCATCTTTATGTCCATGTTTACCCGATGTTTAGCTCCCCCTTATAAGTGAGAATATGCAGTATTTGGCTTTCTGTTCCTGTGTTAATTCATTTAGGGTAATGGCCTTCAGCTGCATCCACGTTGCTGTAAACTAGTTAATTTTTGTTGTTGTTACTGTTGTTGTTATTGTTGGAGACAGAGTCTCACTCTGTCACCTAGGCTGGAGTGCAGTGGTGCAATCTTGGCTCACTGCAACCTCTGCCTCCCAGGTTCAAGTGATTCTCCTGCCTCAGCCTCCTGAGTAGCTGGGACTATAGGCGCATGCCACCATGCCCGGCTAATTTTTTGTATTTTTATTAGAGACGGGGTTTCACCTTATTAGCCAGGATGCTGTCAATCTGACCTCGTGATCCACCCGCCTGGGCCTTCCAAAGTGCTGGGATTACAGGTGTGAGCCACTGCGCCCGGCTCTAAAGTACATAATTTTATTTCTTTTTATGGCCACATAGTATTTCATAGTGTATGTGTACCACATTTTCTTTAACCACCATTGATGGGCATCTAGGTTGATTTCATGTCTTTGCTATTGCGAATAGTGCTGCAATGAATAGACAAATGCAGGTATCTTTTTGGTAGAATGATTTATTTTCCTCTGGTTATATACCCAGTAATGGGATTGCTGGGTCAAATGATAGTTTTATTTTAAGTTCTATGGGAAATCACACTGCTTTCCACAGTGGCTAAACTAATTTGCACTCCCACCACCAGAGTATGTGTTCCCTTTTTTCCACAACCTCACCAACATCTGTTATTTTTTGACTTTTTTTTTTTAATAATAGCCATTCTGACTGATGCGAGATGGTATCTCGTTGTTTTGATTTGTATTTCTCTAATGATTAGTGATGTAAAGCATTTTCTCATGTATTTGTTGGTTGCATGTATGTCTTCTTTTGAGAAGAGTCTGTTCATGTCTTTTGCCCATTTTTGGATGGAGTTGTTTGTTGTTTGCTTGTTGAATTGTTTAAGTGCCTTAGAGATTCTGGATATTAGACCTTTGTCAGATGCATTGTTCGCAAATATTTTCTCCCATTCTGTAAGTGTGTTTACTCTATCGATAATTTCTTTTGCTGTGTAGAAGCTCTTTAGTTTAATTAGGTCATGCTCATAGATAGAAAGAATCAATATTGTTAAAATGGCCATACTGCCCAAAGCAATTTATAGACTTGGTGCTATTCTTATCAAACCACCAATGTCATTTTTCACAGAATTAGAAAATAATATTATAAAATTCATATGGAATCAAAAAAGAGTCTGAATAGCCAAAGCAATCCTAAGCAAAAAGAACAAAGCCAGAAGCATCACACTACTGACTTCAACCTACACTAAAAGGCTACAGTAACCAATACAGCATGATACTGACACAAAAACAAATACACAGATCAATGGAACAGAATAGGGAATCCAGAAACAAAGCCACACACCTACAACCATCTGATCTTTGACAAAGTCGACAATAACAAGCAATGGGGAGGGGACTCCCTATTCAGTGAATGGTGCTGGTATAACTGGCTAGCCATATGCAGAAGATTGAAACTGGACCCCTTTCTTTCACCATGTTAAAAAAGTAACTCAAGATGGACTAAAGATGTAAGACCTAAAACTATAAAAGTTTCATAGAAGAAAACCTAGAAACACCATTTTGGACATCAGCCTTGGCAAAAAATTTATGACAAAGTCACCAAAAGCAATTGTAACACAAACAAAAATGGACAAACAGGGCCTAGTTTTAATTTTTAATTAAATTAAAACAGGTAATAGTCTTGTTTAGTTTGAGTGTTTAAGTACAATGAAGAACACATCGACTTGTTTTCTCATCTTATTGGGAATTTCTAAATAAGCAACTCTGCTATATGACTCATTAATAAAACATATACTTTTGCCCTGTGAAAAACACCTTGAAGCTGCTTTTATATATTTATGACAGATTTCACTTGCTGTCATGACTCATGGATGGTAATAATTATAATTTATTTGAAGGTCATTGTTTTCTTTTCTTAGTATGGGGGTAGTTTTAAATGAGACATTCAATCTAAGCTGAAAATTTTAATGTACTATATATATATATCTGGAGTATTTATATTTTCTATTTATTTTCCTTGTAAGTATTTTCTTCAATTTAAAAATTATTATGTGTAAGTATATTTGCATAATATATTTTCTGTGATTACTTGTTCATTTATAGTAAATTATAATTATTTTAATGAATTTTCATATAAACATATTTGTTACTTAGGGAAATTTATCCAAAGCCTTGAATTTTTTGTTTGTAAATATTCCAAACAAACATTAATTATTGCCAACTTTTACAGCTGGTCAATATTTTTTTAGCAAGAGCAGAAATTTATACCATTGTCCTGAAAGGACCTTAATAGATATCAAGTAGTCTGCATGATATACAGACATTGCATTTCAACTTTATAACTCAATATTATGGTTTCCTTATTATATTGTGCTTGCTAAAGGGGAAAATACTAACATTATTGTCAGCATGGCACACATAATTTTCACCTAAATTAGTTGATTTCTGCAATGCTACCATATCTGCTGCCTGTAAAAGCATAGGAAGCATAATTCCATTTCATTTTTTATTAAATGATTGTTGCAAATAAGTTATAAATTCTTCTATCTTAAAAACAAATAAAGCCAGCCTTGACCCCATATCCCCTTCATCTATGATTCCCTCTCCAATTTTCTTTGTTCCTTGTTAGCAAAGCTTATCGAAAAGTGGCCTATACTTAGATTCTGATTGCCTCTCTCCCTTCTTTTTCTTGAAAACACTAACCAGGTCTTCATCCCCATCACTCTGTTGAAATCTTAATTTCTTAGGTCAACACTGACTTCCATATTACCAAATAAGTCAATCATCAGTCTTCTGATTACTTGGTCATTCTCTTTCTTGAAGCACTTTATTTCATTGCTTTCCAAGGAATGCACCTCTCCTGGATTTTCTCTAACCACACTGGCTTTTCTTTCTCAGTTTCAGGTGTTGAGTCCCTTCATCCTTCTGACCTCAAAATGTTGGGTTACCCTAGGGTTCAGTCTGGGACCCCTTTTCTTTTTTCTCTTTCTTCTTCTTCTTTTTTGTTTTTTTTTAAGGTGGAGTCTCGCTGCGAGACCCAGGCTGGAGTGCAGTGGTGCGATCTCAGCTCACTGCAACCTCTGCCTCCCAGGTTCAAATGATTCTCCTGCCCCAGCCTCCCGAGTAGCTGGGACTACAGGTGCATGCCACCACGCCCAGCTGATTTTTTTATATTTTTAGTAGAGAAGGGGTTTCAGGATACTGGCCAGGCTGTTGTTGAACTTCTGACTTCAAGTGATCCATCTGCGTCAGCCTCCCAAAATGCTGAGATTACAGGCATGAGTTACCGTGCCCAGCCTTTTTTTTCTTTTTTGACACAGGGTCTCTCTGTTGCCCAGGCTGGAGTGCAGTGATGCAATCACGGCTCACTGCAGCCTCAACCTCCTCTGGCTCAAGTGATTCTCCCACCTCAGCCTCCCGAGTAGCTGGGACTACAGGTGTGCACCACCACACCCAGCTATTTTTTGTGTTTTTTGTAGAGACAGGGTCTCCCGAGGCTGCCCAGGCTGGTCTATAACTCCTGAACTCAAGCAATCCACCTGCCTTGACCTCCCAAGTGTTGGGATTACAGGTGTGAGCCACCACACCTGGCCAGGGACCCCCTTTTCTTCTTAATCTATACCCACTATCTAGATGATCCCATCTAATCCCATCTGTATGCTGATGACTCCCAAATTTACATTTCTGGAGTTTTGTTCCTTGATTTGAATATCCAAACTAGCTACATGATACCTTCTTTTGAAATTAACTTTTCCAGAATTCTTTGTTTTCCTTTCCAGTCTTGATTTCCCAGTGTTCTCCATTTCAATAAATGGTACCACCATTCATTCTGTTGCTCAGTGCCATCCCTGATTCTATTTTTTTCCACAGCCTCATCCAACACATCTTGTAGTTTCTCCCTCAAAACACAACTGAAATTTGATGACTTGGCATTCTGTGCAACTACTCTCATCTTTTTTCTGAACAACTGCAACAGCTCTTAAACTCTTCACCCTTGTTCCCTAAAGTCTATTGTCTACGTAGGAAAATATCTATGTTACACGATCTTGTGCAGTCACTGCTATTAACTCTCCAATTTTACACGTGAGACTTAAAATGAAATCCAAGTCTGTGCCATGCCTTATGAGGTCCCACAGGTCAAATTCACATGGTTATTCTCTAGGTATTCACATGGTTTGCTCATTCACTCTTTTTAGGTTTATCTCAGTATTCTTTAGACAAACTTCTGATAATCCTATGTAACAGCTTCTATCACTCTATCCTCATACCCTGCTTAGAGGTTTTCGTACTTTTAATCGGTGAACATTACATTACATATGTACTTGTTTATCTGTTCAGTGTTTCTCTTCCCTATGAAAATAAATTGCATGAGCACAGGAACTTTGCTTTTTCCATTTATGTATACTCAGTACTAAGACTAGCACTTGACATATCTCATCTATTTACTGGGCTTCCATATAATAGATAATCATTACTCTGACCAAAATCATTCCTATATCTCACAAAAAACTATGTATTTTTGGTGTCCTTGGAATTTTTTTCTTTTTTTTTTTTTTTTTGCAAGACAGAGTGTTGCTCTGTCGCCCAGACTGGAGTGCAGTGACACGATCTCCGCTCATTGCAGCCTCTGCCTCCTGGGTTCAAGCAATTCTCCTGCCTCAGCCTCCCAAGTAGCTGGTATTACAGGCGTGTGCCACCACAACCAGCTAATTTTTGTATTTTAGTAGAGACAGGGTTACGCCATGTTGACTAGGCTGGTCTTGAACTCCTGACCTCACGTAATCCACCTGCCTCGGCCTCCCAAAGTGCTGGGATTACAGGCACGAGCCACCACACCTGGCTGTCTTTGGAATATTTACTAAACTTGCCCACTACCCAGGGAGATTAGACATTTTCTCTTCTTTTAACAAAAGAAGATATCATTGAAAATGTTGACAACCACCTTTATAACTAGCATGGAGAAGATAAGTTGACCTGGACAGATCTTCTTTGTTCTGGAAAGAGTCACAGCTTTGGTTATGTACTCTGAGACATGAGTTACCTGATTATCTGGGAATGGTAGAGCTAGTTCCCAATATTTGTCATAAGGTATCAGAAAAAAAATTGTTATTATTAATTACCCTGAATGTTTTAAGAATGCCTATATCAGGCTTGGTTAACACAATTGCCTTTTCTTTATATAAAAGTAAAATTTAAAATTATTAGAAAATAATAAACCTGTATCAAATGTCACAATAAGGTGTTTGAAAATGTATACTGGGTGATATGACTTGGCTCTGTTTCCCCACCCAAATCTCATCTCAAATTCTAATCCCCACATGTTGACAGAGAGACCTGGTGGGAGCTGATTGAATCAAGGGGGTGGCTCCCCCCTGCTGCTCTCATGATAGTGAAGGAGTTCCCATGATATCTGATGGTTTTAAAAGTGGCAGTTTCCCCTGCATGCTCTCTCTCTCTTCGGCCACCTGTGAAGAAGATGCTTGCTTCTCCTTCACCTACTGTCATGATTGTAAGTTTCCTGAGGCCATCCCAGTCATGTGGAACTGCAAGTCAATTAAACCTCTGTTGTTTATAAGTTACGCGGTCTCAGAAGGCAAGAGTTGAGGTTTGGGAGCCTCTGCCTAGATTTTAGAGAATGTATGGAAACACCTGGATGTCCAGGCAGAAGTCTGCTGCAGGGGTGGAACCCTCATGAAGAACCTCTGCTAGGGCAGTGCAGAGGGGATTTATGGGGCTGGGGCCCCTAAAGGGTCCCTACTGGGACTCTGCCTAGTGGAGCTGTGAGAAAAGGGGGTCACCATTCTCCAGATCCCAGAATGGTAGATCCCCTGACAGCTTGCACCAGGTGCCTGGAGAAACCACAGACACTCAGCGCCAGCTCATGGAAGCAGCTGCAGGAGCTGTATCCTCAAAAGCCACAAGGGCAGAGCTGCCCAAGTCTGTGAAAGCCCACACCTTCTATCAGAGTACCTTGGATGTGAGACATGGAGTTAAAGCAGATCATTTCAGAGCTTTAAGATTTAATGACTGCCCTTCTGGGTTTTGGACTTGCATGGGGTATGTGGCCTCTTTGTTTTGGCCAACTTCTCCTATTTGGAATAGGAACATTTACCCAGTGCCTGTATTCCATTGTATCTTGGAAGTAACTAACTTGCTTTTGATTTTACAAGCTCAGAGGTGGAAGGGACTGTTTGTTGCAAAGGCATGATTGGTTTTGAAATGTGAAAAGGACATGAGATTTGGGAAGGGCCAGAGGCAGAAATGATATGGTTTGGCTCTGTGTCCCCACCCAAATTTCATATCAAGTTGTAATCCCGTGTTAAGGGAGGGTCCTGGTGGGAGGTGATTGGATCATGGAGGTGGTTTCCCCCATGCTGTTATTATAACAGTGAGAGAGTTCTCACGAGATGTTTGTTTGATATGTCTGGCATTTCCCCTGCTCTCTCTCTTTCTCTCCTCCACTATGTAAGATGTGCCTTGCTTGCCCTTCACCTTCCACCATGATTGTAAGTTTCCTGAGGCCTCCCCAGCCATGTGGAACTGTGAGTCAATTAAATCTCTTTTGTTTGTAAATTACCCAGTCTCAGGTACTATCTTTATGGCAGTGTGAAAATGGACTAACTTTGCTTGTGTGACTTTTTAATATCAGGTTTTATATTTGAGATGTCCACATGCAATCCTGATCAAGACATTTAAAGAATATCTCATCAAACCTTTAGAGACCAAACATTTTGTTAGCAAAAACAGATAATACAATTTTTGAAAACATATACTGCATCATCAAATCCTTACCATTGGATCATATTTAAGTAGCCAAGCAGCATTCTTTTCTTTCATTAACAATTAAAATGCTAAGATTTCATGTGACAAAGCAAACTTCAAATCCTGTTGAATATTTTGTGAAATATAGTGTATCAAGATAATCATGGAGTTCTGGTTTGATGAATGGCACTTCCATGGTTGGAATGGATAGTGCAGTCACCTTGCAGCTAGTTTGGATGCCATTAAAAGCTCACACAAACTATGAAAGGCAGTATATACTTGAAGATAGAGAACTGTACCTTCCAGGAGACTCCATGTAGCCTCCAGGCACCACCCAGCTTCTATTAGTCTGGCCATTAGGCTGGCCACCATAGTGATGCACAACGGATGAATAACGTACTCACTGATTATTCAGTGAAAGAGCAGCTAGGGTGCCGGGCCATGCACAGAAAGAGTTGTGGCAGCCCCACGCCTTGACTAGCTGGCCCTGTGGGCATTTATTCAGCACAGATTAATGACAAAGGCTTTGAGTCAACAAACCTGTGGATAATTAACCTGGGCAGCCTTCCCAGAGAGAGCCATCCTGCCTGCGAATGATCAAAGGTTAGTCTTAGGACCACATGAGTAAACAAGCTATTTAGATAAACTCTGTTATATTCCTTTGTATCTGTGCCCTGCGCTCTCTGGCTCCTGAAAAGAGAATCTGGCTGCCTTCAGCCAAATCTTTGACTGAAGCTATGCAAGCCCCCTGGCCTTCCAAGAAGGTTTGTGTCTATTTCCTATAATTTTTCCAACCACACCGATTGATCCCCTACAGTGATGTTTTTTGGGCATCTGAGAAATTAACCCCTTCAGCAGCCCACAGGCCCCTATCCATGGGAAGTAGCCTACTCCACAGCTGGCTACTGAAATGGATTTCATATGACTGAGGATCTTCATGGCCGAGGTAGAGCAATGACTGCCCATGTCCCTCGCTTTGTAGTAACCTGCAAGTACAAAATGGCACACCAGTAAGCCCGAGTCTCCATATGGCACCCTCCTAGAAGCCTATATGAAGCAGTTTGAGCCAGAGGGGACAAACTCAACTTGGGCTCTGTCCCGAGCTTCTGTAACTCCCTGACAGGAGCGCCCCCCACCCCCCACCCCCAGCGTTTGTAGTTTATCAGTGCACTTTAGCTCATGTATGTGCTTCAGCACACCAGTTGGAAATTTCTGGAGAAGAAAACATAACCAGGAAGGCTTGCGGATCTGTTTCATTTGGACCTTGCAGTGTTCACTTTAAGAGTTTTGTTTGTTTAGTTGACATGGACACTGATATTTTAAAATACAAATTCTGTCAAGGCAACTATTGGCTGTTATTGAGGAAGAGGTAGGCTCTGTATCCCCAGTTCATCATCACCTTTGCCCCTCCATTTTGCCTCTTCAATACTGAGGTCATTTGTCCTTACACGTTTATCAATACACAATTATTTTTCTGGTGGTAGAATCAGAAAAAAGTCAAATATTTCTTTTAATTGTGTCTGTTAAAATGAAAAATCTGGTGTTAGAAACAAATTCATATTTTAAGAAAAATAGCTCAGGGTGTGGGAAGAGCCCCTGAAGTAAAAATTAGAAAAAAGTAGCCACAAGCAACCATGCAATCCGTTCACCAGGATTGAAGCATCACTGTAGACCTTGACTTCAGCATCCACGCTTGGGTATATCTGAATTACAGCTCCATTCAAAAGATAGTTCTATCTGGGATTCATTTTTTAGACTGAATGAACCAGTAAACACTGGGCTTGTTTCTTTTTTTTTGAATTTAATATTGCCACAGGAAGGACACCAAGACAGAAAAAAAATAGTGCTCTGGATGGGGCTTAATCTACTTAATTGTAAATATTAGAATATAGGTGAGCTTATTTTCTTTCCCAACTTAATGCAATGATACACACATATGCGGTTTTTCAATTAAAGGATTATTTTGTTGAAACTGAAAAATTAATGTAATATTTAAGTCAAATTTCTATCTGTAAGTTATAATACTCATAATTTATAATTCTATTTTAATACTCATAAAACTTCTAAAATTTTATCTATAAAGTCCTGTTCATATATATAATATACACGCATCACAAACATTCATGCACTATTTTTTATTTTTTGAGACAGAGTTTCACTCTTGTTGCCCAGGCTGGAGTGCAATGGCGCGATCTTGCTCACCGCAACCTCCACCTCCCAGGCTCAAGTGATTCTCCTTGCCTCAGCCTCCCTAGTAGCTGGGATTACAGGCAAGTGCCACCACACCTGGCTAATTTTGTATTTTTAGTAGAGATGGAGTTTCTCCATGTTGGTCAGGCTGGTCTCCAACTCCCGACCTTAGGTGATACGCCTGCCTAGGCCTCCCAAAATGCTAGGATTACAGGTGTAAGCCACCGCACCTGGCCATATTCATGCACTATTTTTATATTTTACTTTTAACTTACTATTCTATCAGCCAAAGATTATCCAGAACCAACTGATAAACTAGAAATGTCAAAATGCGGAAAATATAGTTCCTGTCCTCATAAAGCTCTCGTTCAAGTTGGAAAATAGACGTATACACTTTAAAAGGTGTGGCTTTCAATAACAGTTATTTAGGGTAGGGAAACAGTGTAGAGAAGAGTAAGTTACACTGTGTGTGGGATGGGTAGGAATCACAGTACACTTTCCTCAAAGGGGATCCATGAACACCATGGAGTTATTTTTAAAAGTTATATGGCCATGCATACAGAAATATAACTGAACTCAACCTCTAGATGGGGAGTCATTTCATCATATCTACTTCAAGTGAATGGATTCCATTATTGTGTATGGTTACTACAAGTCTCCCAGAAATCATAATATGATTTGGTTTTAAAAGCATAACAAGAACCCTAAAGCTTATGTCAAAAATAAAGTGGGTTCAAGAACAAAATCTGAAATGAAGAGTTACTAGGAGATTTACTTGAACTGTTACTTTCTTACTCAGTATTCAGTCCAGGTTTAAGTCCTTCAGCATCTGACATTCTCCTGGCAACTGTAATTGAATCAATGATGACTCATCTGAGATGAGCAAGTTGGTCCAGTCAGACCAAACAAAAGACATTCTATAATCAGGGGAGAAGTCTTCTCTATATCTCTCTTATATGAGCAAGTAAGTAAGCATTATTATTATTGCTTTGTGGTTTCGAAACTGTGGGCAAATATATGTAAAATTTACCATCTTAACCATTTTTAAGTGTAGGGTTCAGTAGTGTTACATACATTCTCACTGACGTGCAAGTGCTCTCCAGAACTCTCTTCATCCTGCAAAAACTGAAATTCTATACCCATTAAACAACTCACCTTCTATGTCTTATAGTTCTGGAAACATAAAAAGGCATCTAGTTTTATTTATAACATTTCCTTTATTTATCAACAGCAACGATATGACATTACAAAGTGACCCGTGACATCTTTTTTAATCTTGCACACGCACTGCAGCAAGGTTAATCCTGTATGTGAAAACCTCTGAGTGACTATCTCAAAGTGTATATGTCATATAACCTGCTGAGTTTTCTGATATTGTAATACTAGATACAAGATGTCTGAATAACTCCTTACATTTATAAATTCTTATTTAATTTTATAGCTTTAATGCGGTCCATCATTTCTAATAATGATATTGGCTACAAGAATAATGATCATATTATTTATCATATAATTTACCATTTGTAAAGCAACAAATTGCCCATTAACAATGAAATTGTAGTTACAGCATCTAAAATTATTAGAAAATTATATTAGCATGGAAATATGTTCATGATATATCACTGAGTGAAAAAAATCTGGCTACCAAATATGTAGTCTGACTCATTCTTATTTCAAATAATAAAAAATATGTGTATGTTTGAAAATATGCACATTAGTATTTGTATTTTATATATATTATGTACATCATTATATATATATGCATACATATTTGTATATACACACAGATAGCACAGGAGAGAGACAGAGTGGGAGAGAGAAAGAGGAGGGAGGAACTATCTCTTCCTTTTTTCTCAGCTTAATTTCAGCTACAGGAGAAAGTACACTAGAAACTAATTAACAGGAAGAGTACAAAATAATATGTTAGTTATAACTATCTTCAGGAGATGAGAACTGGGAACATGGGTGACTTTTGCTTATTTGCATTTTCTAATTATTTAATAATTATATAATTATATTATCTCTCTCTGTAATTTGTGTAGTAAAACATCAGTTTTATATCCAAATTTTTAGTCATTTATAATAAAAGGTATATTAGCATATGATTATTTTATCCTTAGCCCACAAATAAAACTCACACCACATTTCCTAACACTATGGGCATTTTGGAACACAGTCAATAGTGTCACCCAATAAAATAAATCTTGAATGGTTGATTTTAATACACTAAACATTACATGAAAATATATGCTATCAAAAAGCAGACATTAATATCTTCTTAATAATTTTTAAAACATCCTAAATTTAATACCAAGAATTTTGCCTACCCGAGTTAACATTATACAATTACATGTAATATACATATTCAAAATGGCATAATCACATGAAATTTTAAAGTAAAAATAACTCAGAGAAACTTCCAGTTTAACATTTACACAGCATTTTATTATCCTATTAGCCAGTGTAAATGCAAACTAGGAAAGTTGATATCTTTCTTTTATGTAAAAGGAAGCATATGGGTTTAAATACCTTTTTATATAGCACTATCAAAATCGGAGTCAAGATTAAATTAGGGAAATCTAAGTTTCTTTTACTAGTTTATTCTTGGGAATGATTATAACTAACACGTAATTTCCCCTACTTTGTGAAATTCCTTTTCTTTATTGTATCTTAGTCCATGACACAGGATTTAAGAAACTTCATTATTTCCCCTCACTTTAAAGTGTAGGTACCCAAATAGCTTTGATCTGGTGGACAGTTATGAAGGCAGCAGTGGAGGAGTAAGGAGATAAATAAGAGGACATGAATCAACTAAATTAATAATAACCACAGTTCAAAAGTTAGTGTGAAAGTTTTATCAATATCGAAATTGTGGAATGGTGAGCAGAATACAACTGGGACCCCTGATACTGAGATCTAACTCTAGATGTACCATAGTTAGTTGTATGAGATTGGACAAGTCAAAGTACTTGACAATCAGTTTCTTCAACTTAGAAATAAAACAGTTTAGGCCAGGTTTATTAAAGTATTAAAACCCCTTTCAGAGGCATAGTTCTATAACTCTAAGGAACATAAGACTGTGGATACCTATCTACTGTCAGGTACTGCTTTGGCAGCAGTGAAAATATCAGTTTCAATATAACTTTAAACAATAAATGGACTAACACTTTTGAAGTATGAAGCAAATACAAACCACTGGAATATTTTTATCCCATAAATCGTTACTTTCTTTCATTAAGAAAACTTTAACCTCTTGATCTAAAATGCCATATTGCATCTTTTAAGTTAAATAGCATTACCACTTTCTTCATTATTATGAAATTTAAATTCTGTATACTACTTTATTATTTAGTATTAATATTTAAATTTATCCACAAATGTGCTTTCTAAGGAAACTTGTTTTAAGTAATGTTTTAAAATATTCATAAAATTTGTTTTCTTTACTTTGAGATCTCTGCATTCTTTAAGTGATCAACGCAATTTATAAAACCGGAACTTTTATATGAAAGTCTATATACTTTTAATGTCCTTAATTTGAATTAAACATTCCCTTATAATACAAATTAATGTAAACCTAATGAGTAAATATCTATATTGACATGACATACTTCCTAAGGAAATATGGGAAAATCATACCTTTTAAATAGGTAAATGTATATTCAAGAGAATATTACCAAGCTTGATTCTCTCCCTTGGATCTTAGGAAGTAAACAACAGTACTGTATTTTCACCCACCTCCCCGAACTCAGCTTTATTTGTGCTAGAAGAGGTGATTTTATTCAACTAGTTAATTTCAGTGCAGGTTGCTGTAAACAGGAAATAATATGTTATTTATCATAGTAAGACAAAAAAAATTTGAAGTGAATGACTTGTTGGGTCTATGCAAACACCTCATCCTACCTCAGAAGCAATCCTAAGAAATTAATACTTACTTAGCTTTCTTTTTAGGAAGGCCCTAATACAAGGCATCTTTCTGTTTTTTTGTTTTGTTTTGTTTTGTTTTGTTTTTTTGAGTGTTACAGCCTGGACTGGCCAGCAAGACAGAAATTTCTTCTTCCTAAAAATGTGTAATGTCAAATAACCATTATCAACCCTATCTATGTTAATGTTCGCACACTCATGAATGGGGAAATGTAGGGCTCATGGTAATAAATCAATAATGACAACAATGAACATTTAAGTCCTTATTATGTGTCAAATAGTTTACATTAATTAACTCGGTTCTCACAACAACCTAAGAAGTAATAATGGTTAGCCACTAAATATGATAATGTAGAAGAAAATAATGGAAAGTAAATAAATAATGTGAAATCTATAAGATACACATCCATGATCTCACATCCCCAAAAGTAGCTGTACCTTTTTCAGTTTTTTTCCTTTTACTTCCCTGGAATTTGTAAATATCTTTTCAGCTCTAAACAGCTAATACAATAAACACTTTTAATCTATTTTGGCAGGCACTGTTTTTGGTACTATGGGGGACACAGGAATGAGTAAGAGAGGTCCTAAATTCCATGCTGATACTACATATTGCTGATAATCAGATCAATTTCATAAAGTATTACAGTTCTGGCCATATAGAAAGGGTTCTAGTTTTATCTATGAAATTTCTCTTAATTGTCTATAGCACTGATACAATCTTACAAAGCTGCCTATGACATCTTATCTTGCACATGCACTGCAGCAAGAAGGCTGATGCTCAGTATGTGGAACGTCTGGAGTGATCATCTCAAAGCCTTTGTCACATAACTTGCTGAGTTTTCTGATATTCTGATAGTAGTTATAAGATGCCTGAGTAACTCATGAAATCTTATGGATTTTTATCTCACTTTATAGATTTAATGACCTCCACCATCTCTAAGAACAAGCAGCTATTTCTGTAGAGAAAGATCATCTTTGGATAACAATACATGATTTTAGGCTCTAAAAGTTAAAACGTGTTTGTAACGTTGATATTATGCAGAGGTCTTGACAGAACTTGGCAGTCTCTGAGGCTACAGAGAAGTGTGAAAAAGAGCATAGAGATTTCAGAAGGAGGCAGATTCAGTCAGACGTACTGAATCCCGTTTGATCTCAACTCAGGCACACTCCAGATGGACGGTAAGTTACTTGGTTTATCTGAGCGCCAGTATTTTTATATGTAAGATGAAGCCGGTAACACCTACCCTGAAAAGTTGTTGTAAAGATGTTAAATACATTTGTAAAGGTCCAGTAGAGATTATATATTAGATGCTCAATAAATAGGAACTATATATTCTCATCCATCATCTCCTCATTGCACAACTGACTAATGCATTTCAGCTCCGTGAGCATACACTTGGTCTGTCTTAAACCAGATGACCAGGTCAAGTATGAGACCAGTTACTACGAGGACATGCAGAGATCAAATAAATAAATAAATAAAGGCTTTGTGGACATTGTCAACATATTTACCTTCCCATACAGCTGTCTGCTGAATATAAGCTATAAAACAGGACTAGCTAAGATGACAATAATTGCCTAAATCACCTTTATGGCTTTAGTCAGGAAAATAATTATAGTGATAATGACCTTGAACTCCTGTGGAATTTCCATAACTAATACATAAGTATATCACTACTGTGACATTGATGTCTTTTGGTATCACTGAAATAATAAAGTGAGATAGAATTCAGAAAGAAAAATTTCAGAGGTGGACTCATTATAAAGTACCTATGATTATCACATAAGCCTGGAACAGATAAAGTACACTCATATTAAAACATAAGGCAAAATTCTTAAATAAAAAGCCTTGATGATTAGAGTTCTACTGAGCTACTGCCTCAACTGATGAAAATTCTAACTAGCACAGTACAAATGCAACTGCTTTGAGCTAAACATCAGTTTCAGAAGGAATAATATATGCGCACTTCCCAGCGACCCTTCATTTAAAAACCTGAATCTAGATTCACAATCATCCACAAAAGGAATAATTTCTATCATTATGGTACCTAGATGATTTCCTTTTTATTACTGGAATTAAATATACTTAAATAACATACAGAGCTTAATGAAAAAGATCATGAATCACTCCACCATAAGAATTATCAGGACATGATAAAATCTTATGTATCTTAATGGTAAAAACAATCTGATTATTAGGTCTTTGTTTGAGGCAGTTTATCTACAGTTCAAAAAAATGCTTTCACTGATTACATTCCAAAGTATTTCTTTCATTGTCAGCAGGAGTGTCTGGCATTTAATTAAAATATATTCCTCTAACTATAAATAATTGAATGGTTTTAAATCTATGGCTAATATTGGCAAACCGATAAATAACCAAATAATGTAAGAACTAGAATTATCAAAACACTTTTGCGAACACAGTTCTGCTTGGAGGGCTCCACGGAGGAAGTGCCTCACTTTCAAGAAAGGAATGACGTTTCTTCTGTTTTCGTTCAATTCTTTCTTGTTTTTCCTTATTTTCCTAAAGAGAAAATAGAACACTATAAATTTATGTACATATATGATTATTATTTTCAAATCAGGTTGCTTGCTGAAGAACAAAATAATCCATTATAGGATATTTATATATCACTTCCTAGTTTAACAGATCATAAAGAAATAACAGGTAGGGCCAGGCATGGTGGCTCATGCCAGTAATCCCAGAACTTTAGGAGACTAAGGTGGGTGGATTGTTTGAGCCTGGGAGTTCGAGACCAGCCTGGGAAACATGGTGAAACATCATCTCTACAAAACAACACAAAAATTAGCCAGGTGTGGCGGTGCATGCCTATAGTCCCACCTACTTAGGAGGCTGAGATGGGAGGATTGCTTGAGCCTGGGAGGTGGAGGTTGCAGTGAGCCGAGATTGCACCACTGCACTCCAGCCTGGGCAACAGAGTGAGACCCTGTCTCAAAAAAACAAACAAACAAAAAATGGAAACAAGAAAAAAATTAGTAAACATTGTCAATTTGCAAGTACTAATATCACTTAATTTTTTAAACTTTAAAAGTGAAAACATTAAAAAAGAATTGTATAAAATAGAAAAAAAGACCTATAATTATAACTCAAATATAGTAACTGTTATAAGTTGGTGGTGACTTCGTGAGAACAAATTCTCAGAAGTAAGTTTACTGGGTGCAAAGTTTCAATATGTCATGACAGTATGAGATACTTCAAATTTTTTACAAATAGTTAAAAATTCTGCCTCATGTTTCTTTATTATTGAACTTGAGCACATTTTCAAACATTTCTTTAGCCTTTTGTAAATTTTCTGCTCAATTATTTGGCCCATTTAAATGTATGGTATTTGCCTTTAATTTTTAGTAATTTGTGTACTTTCCTATAATAAATATTAATGATATCTTTGCATCAAACATTTTGCCTACCTTTGTGAGTCATTTCTGATTGTTACACAATGTATACAATGTAGATGGAAACATCACACTGTATTCCATAAATATGTGCACTTTTTATGTGTCATTTGCAAATAAAAATAATTTTTTAAAATCCCAACACACAGATATGGTCCCTGTCCCCCAGGGAACTTTCAAAATGGACAGAAACAAAGAAAATAAACAACAGATAATTCCAAATTGTGTGAATTTCTCTGAAACATGTTTTAAAACTATGAGAAGGAATAAAAAAGAGTATTTACTTTCAACAAAAAATGGACTCAGGGAAAGTCCCTTTGAAGTGTGACATGATGGATAAGAGAAGCCACTCGTGATAAATATCGGGGAAGAGCTTTGCTTGCAAACAGTAGTGGTGAGGGCTCTGAGAGTGGGAAAAAAAATGTGTGCTGTGGGAGGAAACAAAAATATCCATTGTGACTAAGGCTTGGCAGAAGGCAGGAGACAAGAAATGGAAGAGGGGCACCAGGTGTCCCTTTATGTCTCTGCTAACACTATAAGGTTTGGTGGTTTCTTCATCTTGGTATTTTTCTCATATTCCTCAAGGAGCAGGAAAACCCTTAGTGAAACCTGCCTCTGCAGGTTGATGGCTTGGGAGGAAAGGCATTATGGAAAATGATTAGGTATGTATGCATCTTTTCATCAGTATATATATAAATGCCACAAGAATAATATGGCAATACAGGACAAGCTTTCCATTCACATGTAACAAACAAAGTGAAGTGGGAGGTTTGTTTGTTTTTTGTCAATGTTAACACCCATATCCTCATTCCATGTCATAAGAATGCTTGCATGTTTGTTTGCTTGCTATTTCTAATAAGGCAAAGAGGAAACTTCCTTTCAGAATTTTAATTGAGAAAAGCAAAGCTGTAATTAGATCATCTTCAATCATTTTAATATTTTAGAGACAGACCATCTAGCTAGGCGGAAGAAAAGCAGTGACCAGACTGTGTCCACAGAAATTGACTGAATAAATCTCTTTTTGTAATTTCACTTAACATGAGGGGGCAGTAACTTGAAATATGCTTCATCTTACTAGCAGGGAGCTGTAAAGCCAGGGTAGCAAATAGACAATTATATTAACTGTAATATCAGTTCAAAAGAATCAATAGTCACCTTGATAGTAATTAAAAGAACCTTGTTAAAAAGTCCTTCAGACATTTATTTGTGGAAAACTGAGCTTTTTGCTTATTTTCTTACTAAAGGTAATGATGAATTAATCTGGTAATTGGCAAGAAAAATATTTTAGTCTTACCTGATCTTTGGCTATTAACTTTCCCCTAAAGCAATTACCCACCAAATGCTTACTGTTCAAACTAGTTTGTATATAAAAAGCTTGAGATGTTGTTTTCCATGAAAACTGAAGTCATTAGACTCCTATACAGGGGCAATTTTTCTATTCTATCTGCAAACAAATTTCAATAAGAATTTGGTAAGAAGGAGAACCGATCTGTAACATGTATGTTTATGTGTTTATAGGTGTACTATATTTGCAGACATTTTACTAGATATCAAACATGTTATTTTGTCTTTGGTCTTTGAGGAATTCTTGTTCTTCAGAGGACTGATAAGAATGACAATGTAATTAAGTGCTATAATTAAAAACAGTATACCTAAATGTGACTTATTAAAGAAATTCTATTCCATTTTCATGAAGATATGGAATTAAAATGGAAAACTCAAATGTTTACATTTAATTTCCCTAATTGATACTAGCAGTCAGTGTACATCTTCTTAATATAAGTGGACTTTAAATTTTTTTTTAGAACATAGCATTATTTAACAGATTAACTTAAGGAAATCATCATGAAACACTACCTTTTTCATTCAAAATTGAACCAATTTTGATTACCTTATTTTATTACTATTTCTCTGCATCGAATTAGCATATAGCAGTACTAAACTCAACACACAGAGTAAATCCTGTTGGCTTTTGTTAAGATTGCATTAAATGACTTCAGGGAGAGCTGACATCCTTATAACATCATTATAAGGTTAAGTGTGTTTCTGTGCATGGGCAATTCTGATCCATTTTCTCAAGTCTTCATTTGTGTTGTTCAGGAGAGTTCTACAATTTTCTTTATGTTGGTCTGGCATGTTTCTTAAGTTTATTATTGTTTTATCTTTTTATCCTATCTTTAAATCGCTCATTTTGGTCCCATGTACCTTTCTAACTACTGCTGATTCTTAAGTTTATGGAAAAAATAAATAAACAAGACTGGTCAGAAAGACTGTGAAAGAAGAACTATAAAGGGAGATGAATCCAAGCAGATATTTAGACATATCAAGCCTAATAATGGAAGTGTGGCACTGGAATCACGAGACTGACCAATGGAACAGAAAGTTAAGAAACAGACCCGAAAACATGAGAAGGTATCATATAACAGAAGTAGCACCTCAAATCAATGGGTAAAAATGGGCTACTTTATAAAGGATACATTTGGAAAAACTAAAGTTGAAATCATATTTCCCACCATGTATCAGGGCAAATTCCAAGCAGAACAAATGTTAAAACATTAAGATATTAAAGTCACAAAGTTGTTAGAAGAAAAATAAGATAATTCTGTTTAATCTCAAATTGTGTAGGTCTTTTCAACTATGCTTGAAAATCAAAAGCCAAAAAAAAAAAACAGAAATCTGACACCTAAAATTTAAATTCTTCATGGCATGAGATACTATAAGGAAAGCCGGGAAACCAACAATATAGTGGGGGTAAATATTTGCAACCCATATAAAAAATGATAGGCTAATTTCCCCAGTACAAAACAAAAGATTCTAGAAACCAGTAAGGAAAAAAAACCAACAATCTAATAGAAAAGTGTGCAAAGTCTATGAAATGACAATTTACAGAGAAAATAATAGATAAATGGCCTGTATACAAATGAAAAGATATTCAAGCTCAATTCTAACCAGAGAAATGCAAATCAAAAACAACCTGGATGATTTAGTTGATTGGTATGAGTTGTTTTAAAGTTTGATAGGAAACCTGACTGGATAGACTTCTAGTGCAAAAATACTATAATTTTGGTTGCTGAATCATATGAATATGTTAACTATTCATATGAATGTGTTACCTACTTATGTAAAGTATTTATTCATAGTAATGTATTACTTATATAAACATGGACAAAATGCATATTTATATTGATATTCTAAAATGGAAAATAATATTTTGCTTGACATCAACAAAAAGTAACTTTTATAAAGATAAGTAAAGTGAAATCAAATATATACACATATCTGGTTCAGCTAGCTATTGCTCCTCCTAAACCTCAAACCTGCTCTCTTTCATTAAAAATTCCTAAATAAGAGATTCTCCTTGAGGTCATCAGAAACATCAAAAGAGAATAAAAGATGGAATAATTTTCTCACTATTAAGTTCAGTGTTACTTTTTGTCATGACCAAGTTCCACCACGTAGTACCCTCAATAGTAAACTTGTCTTCTTTCTATGTTAGATGTGAGAATCACAGCAAAGGAAGAATGGGCATGAATAGTAAATGGTAAATGTGGGGATGCAGGTAAGGAAGAAGATTATAACAAGTTTTCAGCCTGGGTGTTTGAGGGAATAGTAGAAACATTAATAGAAATGACTAAGTCAAAGAAAATATGCTATATGCAGGAGGAGAGCTTGAATTCAACAAAGCAGATTCCAGGTAGAAATGATCAGTAGGTCTGGAGCAAATAGAATTAGAATTAGGGACAGAAAAGACACAAAAGGTACATGAAAAAGACGAAAGTGCATTGACAAATAATACCTACCAGCCATTTTTCATATTCATTAATAGCTTGTTTATCTTTATCTTTTTTCTCAGCTCTTTTCAGTTCTTCCTTTCTTTTCTCATTTATTTTTTCTTTTTCCTTTTGCTTGAAAAAAGCTTCCTTTTTTTCATTCCTATAGAGCATAGTATAAAACACTGGAGAGTTAAAGGAAAATACATAATAAAGATTCCCTAGTACATCTTTGACAGTAATGAAATTGAAATGCATTACTAAATTTCAAGTAAATAAATTTTATAAAATCCTGAAGTGTTACTATAATTTAAAATATATCAAAATATTTATGATTTTGGATTACCATTTCTCAACAGCAGTTAAATTATCTTTCTTTTTCTCGGCAACAGTTTCCTCCTCTTTCTGTTTCTTTGCTCTTTCATATTCTCTCTCCTTTCTATTTTTCTCTTTAAGATATTCCATCTTTTTCTCTTTCCATTTTTCAAAAGCCTGAAAAAGTTCAGAATAATTTTCTTACTGTGAATATTTGAAAATAAATAAAAATATGGTTAATCATTAATTTGGATTTCAAATGTTTTAAAATAATTAAGATGTGCAAAGTTCTGAATACTTGTAGTGCTTCTCCTTTTCTTGCAGCATTTTCTTCTTCAGTTTTCTTCTTGTTTTTTTCTTCAAGCCTCTTTTTGGCAGCTATTTTCTTTGCTTCCTTTTCTTTCATAGCCTTCCAGGCCTCAAATGATGCTAATGCTTCTTCTCTTTTAGCAGCTTTTTTCTACAGTGGAAAAAATAATAGAGTGATATACATATATATGTATATATACATAGACACAAATATGGCTAGATATAAATATACACATATACATTTATCTTTAGTCCTCTGATATTCATTATACTTAGAAATTAACTTTCAAAGTAGGTAATTTATTTAGAATGGCTTAGATAATTTACAAAGAATGTTATCTGAATTATTCATTGGTTTTAAAACGTCCTTTTCTAAAAACATTTATCACATATTGACCTATTAATGAGAAAGATGTCAACTATTATTTTTGAAAGTGTACTAAACAAATTATATCAAAATAAACTGTAATAGGCTAAGTGGTATAGTAAAATTTTCATAATAAAATATTTGAAAAAAAAATCAGTAAAGTTATGGGCTTATAAAGTAAGTTAGAGTAAGGCAAATTGGCCAAGCCATGCAGTAAGATGCAGATTTTTGGTTTAAATCTTAATTTTGAATAGTATCAAAACATAAAGTTCTTACTGCACAAATGTATTCCAAATGTTGAAAGTATGTGCTCGACTGAAAAATAGGTTGGAGACTGTATAGCAAGTTATGTTATTATTTTACTTCCTTCAATCTAATCCCATAATATTCTATGTTTGCTTTATTGTTCAATATTAAATGACATAAAACCTTAATATTGGGGTAACATAATTTAGAGGTCAAAGTACTATCTACCTCACAGAGCTACGAAAATCAAATGAGAAGGGGTATGGCACTGACCACAGCAGCATACTGCTATGAACGTGGTTAACAGATAGACAGGCACGCCCCCTGGAGGGCTGCTCCCTTCACTACTGACGCATTATCGTGCAGTTCACCTTGGAAAATATTTTTCTTCTAAATCTATTTTTAGTATTGAACAGCACACTGGAGTTTTTGTCCAGAAGTTTGACTTTAGAAGATAAGAAATAACTGAGCGTATTACAAGCAGGAGTTAGAGGAAGAGACTCAGTACAGAAGAGACAGGAACAAAAGTTCACCTCCATTCAATGGGAAAGGATACAGATCAAGAGTTCAGGTAGGGGTTGGACTTGAAGATACTTATAAAATTCAAGAGAGAAAAGAGGAAAATTGAAGGCTAACTAGTGTCTAATGATCCTTTATCTTGTCGTGCCTTTTTTTTTTTTTTTGAGACAGAGTCTCTGTCACCTAGGCTGGAGTACAGTGGCACGATCTCAGCTAACTGCAACCTCCGCCTCCCGGGTTCAAGTGATCCTGCCACCTCAGCCTCCTGAGTAGCTGGGATTACAGGTGCCCACCACCATCCCTGGCTAATTTTTGTATTTTTAGTAGAGATGGGGTTTCACCACATTGCCCAGGCTGGTGTCGAACTCCAGACCTCAAGGAATCCCATCTGCCTTGGCCTCCCAAAGTGCTGGGATTACAGGCATGAGCCACAGTACCTGGCCTTCTTGGTTAAGTTCTAAATGAAATCAACTTTTAAAAGTGAATTAGGTGCTCATAAACAATAATAACTTCATAATCAGCAGGAACAAAGCTATCCTATACATATACAAAATTAAAATCTGTTTTCATGTAAAACAGTTATATCAAACTAAAATGTATAAAGTAAAACAGAAGTAAAACCGGAAATCATTTCTTTAATATACAAGTTATTTTGCCATTTAAAAAGCTGATTTAGAAAAGTTATATATTCAGGGATATTTTACTGAAATAAAAATCCAAAACATTTTTACTTCTATATGTCAGAATACCTGTTCATTTTGGATCCTTAAGTTTTCACTTTCAATTCTTTTTATTCTGTGCATTTCATGTAAATACACATTTTTCTTTTCTAACCACTCCTATAAGAACAAGAAAAAGGTCATATAATATTTAAAATTTCTTAAGTGAATTAGAATTCTTTATATTAACATTTTCTCTGAAATTCACATGTACAATTTTCTAAAGTATACTATTCTACTCTAAAAAAGACAAAAAAAGACTTTTAGAATTGTGAATAAATTAATACAATCTTTTTCCTATGTACGCCTAACAACATCTCAGGAAAGAAAAAATTTAATAACTTTTTGTTCATAATAACTCCTTTTGTTCATATAAACTTCAAGAAGAAAAAAATGAAAACATATATAGACTTTACAATGTTTTGGCTTGTGCTGTATTTCTATAAATTGCAATGGCATATTCTTTCTTTAAAAACAACTATGGTCAGTTATGCAAAGTGTGGAAGCAAATAATTTAGTAAAATATGATTACTCATGTATTAAAAGGAAACTCTTTCTCAATAAATTTAAGTATTAAACCATCATTTTCTATCAGGATTACTTTATTCTTTATAAACAGTGTAGGCTTATGAAAGTGATCATTCTTCTTCTCTTAAAAATATTTTCCTTTTTTACCTGATAAACAGCTGCCCTTATGTTATCTGCTCTATCAGGTTCTATGCTCTGTTTCTGTGAAGGTTTTTGGTCCAAGACTTTTAAAGTCCCTAAATAGTGAGAAGAGGTAGTTGTCGATGGAGTTCTCCTTTTAGAACTAGATTTCTTCAAAAACTCAGAGGTCATTAATCTGAAAAGATCCAAATGAATCAAGACAAAATATTACAATTGCATTTGGTAGAAGAGAGATCTGTTAGAATATGCACGTATAATATTTGAAAACTGGCCAGGCATGATGGCTCACACCTGTAATCCCAGCACTTTGGAAGGCCAAAGTGGGTGGATGACTTGAGCTCATCCTGTTGGGCTGTTGACCAGCCTGGGCAACATGGTGAAACCCTGTCTCTACCAAAAATACAAAAAATTAGCTGGCGTGGTGGCACATGCCTGTAGTCATAGCTACCCTGGAGGCTGAGGTGGGAGGATAGCTTGAGCCCAGGAGGCAGAGGTTGCAGTGAGCAGAGATCATGCCACTGAACTCCAGCCTGAGCAACAGAGTGAGACTCCATCTCAAAAAAAAAATTGGAAACTACATTATAATTTAACAAATTATAATTACTTTGAAAATGATGTAGGTAAAATGTACAGTCTTAGTATACAAAGAATATTAAATTATGTAGAAGGGGACATAACTTAAATATGTCCCCTTCAACATAATTTAAATTTTATAACTTTAAGTTATATAGCTTTAAAATGATTGCTCTTTTTAAATATTTGTAATTAGAAACTTAAGAAATATGGACCACTTCTCAAGTTACATGGAAAAAACAATACAGTAGGTTATAATCACTCTTTTAATATTTTCTTTCATCATTTTGTTACATGAAGCATTCCAAATATAAAATTAGAAAGAATAGTACTATCTATATCAGGGATTGGTGGGAAAATTTGGCCAGCCATTGGTTTTGATATACAAAGTTTATTGCACCATAGCTGTAATCATTCATGTTAAGTTTTGCCTGTGGCTGCTTTCCTGTTAAAATAGCAGAAATGAGTAGTTCCAATACAGACTGTATCGCCTACAAAGCCTAAAATATGCACTAACTGGCCATTTACAGAAAAAGCTTGCTAGCTCTGTTTTATTTGATTAATGATAATTTGACTAACGATAATTTTAAAGATTCAGAAGGTTTTTGATTAGCACTTATGAGTTAGGCATTCATTATCATTGGTGTGAATGAAGCTATACAGATAATCATTTTAATAAACCTACTTAGTTCATAGATTCTGAAGGCTTTCAGTACAATTTCTCATGTTAGACAATGATACTTGATAATGAATAAGTATCATTGCTAGACTTCAGCTTTATTACCATTTTATATTGCTTGTCTCAGGAAAAGTAGGAGAAAGAAGCTCTATTCCAGAAGCAGTCTGGAGCACAAAGAATCCCTAATCACTGACATTAAGAAAGAAGAAAAATATTCCTAGGACGATCCTGGAGAGCAAAGGTATTGCATAAACATTCCAGGCACTAAAACAATCAGTAATAGACTTACTTTTTATAAATTACTTTATTTCAAATAATATCATCAACCAAGGGGTTTTATCATGAAGTTAACTACTTTCATTTTATGAAATGGAAATAAAAAGAAAATACAGTAACACCAAATGAAATTTACTTTATGAAAGTTAAATTAAAACTAGCTTTGCTAGAATGCAAGCCCATAAATGACAAATATTGGTAACTTTATTACCTGGCAGATGCACTGGATGCTCTATTATTTGTTGACTTTTTATTCTTTATATTTCTATCTTCAATTGTTTTCTATTAAACAGAAAATGCCAAAGATGATTTATTCATGACAACTATCCTTTTTAGGCTTAGAAGCCAAACTGCCAGTAAATCACTATTCTTTAAGCATCTACTATGTGTCAAACACAGTAGAAATTGGGAGCAAATCAGTGAATAAAATGCCCTTAAGAATATTAAATTCTAGAGACGGATGACCAAAAATAAATATATAAGCAAACATGGCTCATGAAGGACATAAAATAGTGTGCAGTGACAGAGAATGACTAGAGTGGGGCTGAGGAGCTGCTTTAAAGAAGTTGGTCAGGGAAGGCTGTCCTGAGGGGCTGACATCAGAGCTAAGAGTGCAAAGGGCCCACCGAAAGGTCTATGAAAGAAAGAAACAGCAAGTGGGTAAAAGCCTGAGAAGGGACGGAACCTGTTATCTCTGAAAAACAGAAAGAGGTGAATGGAGCTGAAGCATAGTGAATGGCAGGGAAAGCGGAGGAAGACGTGGTCAGGGAAGAACCAGGTGAGATCACTAGGCAGCGATGAGGAGTCTGGATGGAATTCTTGTGATGAGAAACCAACAAAAAGACTTTAATGGAGAATGATTATATTTCTGTTTAGAAAAGGTCATTCAGTAGAGAGTAAGAATGAGGCCAAGGGTCCAGTCAAAAGAAACAAGTTACAACCTTACTTGTTACATATGAAATGCCTGTTCTAATTTAGAATTGCCTCTATTAGACATTCTACAATCCTGTCTATAAACTCCGGAATATCCTTTCTTCTTTTAAGGAACAACTTTTCTACTTTACACAGACTGATGGGTGCTAGTGGTAAAGTGAGAGCACAGACATAATAAACACATCCCTAACTTAGCAGTAGTGTTTTTTTCCTAAAGAAATTAGCTAAGGATGATATACCTGGAACATGGCTTAATGAACCTCCTTCATCAATTTTAAGAAAAGCTTGTATTTTATGTTATAAAAGTATTGCTCAAACACAAATTTTCAGCTAGCCCTGTTTTCTTCCGCTGATAATAAACACACAGAGCTGCTAGCTAATTGCAGCTACAAGAGATAATGACAAATTCAGGAGAAACAAAGACTGAAAATGCTACACCATAAATTTTTAAAGTATAGCACTCAGGCACAATTTAATGTAGGGACAAGTAATCCTACATATTACATATCTGTTTCTTAAGGTTATAATAATAATGTTCCCCTCAACAACAACAACAAAAAACAAATAACCCCACTAAAAAGAGGGCAAAAAACATGAATAGACTTTTTGAAAAGAAGACATACAAGTGGCCAAGAAACATGAAAAAAAATGTTCACCATCACTAATCATCAGAGAAACACAAATTAAAACCACAGTGAGATATATTATACTAGTCAGAATATTTAGCTATTATTAAAAAGTTAAAAAAGTAACAGATGTTGGTGAGAACACAGAGAAAAGGGAATGCTTGTATACTCTTGGTAAGAATGTAAATTAGTACAATCTTTATGGAAAATAGTTTGGGGATTTCTTAAGGAACTAAATATAGAACTACCACTCAATCCAGCAACCCCACTGTGAGTATCTGCCAAAAGGAAAATAAATCATTATATAAAAAAGATACCTGCACTCATGTTTATCACACCACTAGTCACAATAGCAAAGATATGGAATCAACCTAAGTGTACATCAACATATGATTGTATAAAGAAAATGTGTATACACACACACACACACACACACACACACACACACACAGGAATACTATTCAGCCACACAGAAAAGAAATAATATCTTTTACAACATGGATGGAACTGGAGGCTATTACCTTAAGTGAAATAAATCAGAAACAGAAAGTCAAATGGTACATGTTCTCACTTACAAGTCAGAGCTAAATAATGTGTACACATGTATATAGGGTATGGAATAATAGATAATGGAGACTAGGAAAGGTGAGAGGGAGGTGCGGGATGAGAAATTACTTAATGGGTACAATGTACATTTTAGTTTATACTAAAAGTCTGACTTTACCACTACACAATATATCCATGTAACAAAAAAGCACTTGTAACCATTAAATTTACATGAATTGAAAAAAGAAAAAACAAAGCAACTTCATCACCTCTGGAGGTTGCCAGGGCACCAGTTCATTATTTTGAAAATTAGGAAATAAAGGCAAAGGATCAAATACGAATAATAATACTAATGTTCCTGATGATAACCATCTATTTTAAAGAAGCACAGATGTTGATAAACTGTTGATAAACATTTCTTTAAGATTTTTGTTAAAATTGTTAACACGTTTTAAAACAATATCCAAAAACATAACTCTAATTTAAAATCTCAGAAATTATTCCAGACAGTTATATTTTTAAAATATGAAGACCTATGGAAATATATACACTATGAGTATGCATTTCTGAGACATTTAAAAGTATATTATGATCACACACCTCTGATAATTTTTAAACACTGGGTTTCATTATATTCACTACAAACTTTCCTTAAAGTTAAATTTTATTGGATTAAGTAAGAACCATGTGACAATACAATATCACTATCAAAAGATAAATTTTCCACTGGTAATTCAGAAGTATATAACACAGAAGATAAAATTTCTTAAAGTTCTATTTCAAGTTTTAAGCTGTAGTATGAAAAGTATGAATTTTTACAAATACCTTTGAAGATGCTGTTGCACTGGTAGATATTAAGATACTCTGAGATTTAGATAGTAGTGGATCAACTGTTCTGTCATCATCCATAATCAGTTCCGCTTTTGCCTTTTCTTCTTCAAGGTCATCAGCAGTCACTTGACTTTCCTTGGATTTCTCAACTGCAGTAGTCACATGGTCTGCTGAAAATGAATTCTCTTTATTTTCATCTGATTTCAAGGAATTATGGTTTTCAGTGATTTCTTCATTTGGATCTATTTTGAGACAGAGTAATAGCATTAAAACCCCCTTCTGAATTAATAAGGTAAATACTTGATTCATTTGCTTTCTTTTAAATGAGGACTATCTATAAACTCTTTTTTCTTGCAAAATATGAAGAAAAGTTATCATATTAAACTTGCATAAACTCTTTTCGAAAGTGATTTACAAAAAAAAATAGTCTAGGCTTAACTAATGAAGCACTTAACAAATCTAGTACTTAGAAAAATAGCATATTAATAAACAGAATGGAATAACTACCCTAAAACAACGACATGTCAAAAGAGCTTGTTGATATACAAACCAAGTAAGTGAGATGACAATATTTGTTTAACTCTAAAGCCTGAGTTTCTTAGCTGGAACAACACGCTGCATAAGAAGGTGTCACACCTCTCTAGGCTACTACAGTTACTAGTAGTACAATTGTTGAATTGTATAGCTGCAGAAAGAACCAAGAATTAATGCAATTTTACACAGTCTCTAGTGAGTTTCATCTCACCAAGATGTAGTACTTCCTCTGATACCATAAGGGGCAATAAAGACAAGCCTATTGCTTATCCTCTCAGTGCTCCAAGAAACAGGCTCAAGCTCTGGCATAAGAAGATTCAGTTTTGCATTTATAGAATTGCTTCTACTATTCTGATTTTACCACATTTTGGAATGGGATCACCAACTTTCAGTTCTACCAACGTCCACCTTGCAGCTAAACCTGAATCTTTACTGTGAAAAGTCTTAATTCTGTTGGTTTCATTATGACCATTTTTTTGGAATTTGTTTTGAGGTAACATGGGCTTAAAATCACTCAATTCACTATTGGATTCTTTGGAGCTGTTAATCTGTTCAGTGAAAAGAACAAGAACTTTGGAACTCAAGATTTAACTATGGTTCCATCACTGACCTTGGGTATGTTTCCCTAAGTCACTGCACTTCAGCTTTTCTCATCTGTAAAATGACAAAAATGATACTACATAGTAAGCACTAAAATGTTCATTACACATCTCAGACCTAGAAATAGCTATGTCTTTTAGGTTTCATTAAGCTACGTATCACTAAGAAAAGAAATTATGTTAACAATTCACATATCACACCAAGTGCTTACTATGGTATTGCTGTAAATGCTTTACATGTTTAATTCTTACAACACCCTATAAGGCAAATTACTCTTATTTTACCCATTTTAAAGATCAACATACAGGGTCAGAAAGGTTAGTTACTTTGCTTATGTAATTGTGCCTGTATTGGAATCTAGCTTAGTCTCACTTTAAAATTCCACCTAGCTATTATGTTGTCCTGCAGAATATCACAGCAACACATACATAACAGTAGTTTACCTTAAGTGCTCACTCCACTTGGGCTATTAACTAGGCTAATGGCTAAAATGCACTATATCACTTAATTTTCACAATAACCTTATGAGACAAATAATATAACTTAGGGAAATTGAGGCACTGAGAGATTAAGTTCTGCATCCAAAATCACAGTTAGTTAACTACATAGTCAGGATTAAAACTCAAACACATAAAAACATATATTTCTCTTATAACTATACAAAGTATTATTTCTCTTACAAACAGGAGTCTAAGTAGTACAGAGTTCACATATAAGATATAATTATTAGATATAACCACCTTTTCCAGATGCGTTTCCCTCAGATCCTGGTGAAAAAGAATCTCCAAGAATTTGTTTAAGTGATGATGATGCTAGACTTGTTAAGCATGAATCCTGTTTTCGCAAAAAAAAATACATTTGCCACATAAGTTTAATAATTAACATTTATGGGAACAATAGCATTATTAAAACTACAAATTGAAATAGTGCATAACTCTGAAATCTGCATTATTTAGGCATTTGTTGCTGAAACGCAAAGTGTGACAAGCCAATGGAGGTAAGCATGCTTTACTTTCAAGCCTTGATGTCTTGGTCATTAAAAGGGGTCACTGAAAGAGTTATTCAAGTTCTTTAACTACCACCACCTCTCTATTTATTTTTTACCAATTTTCAAAACTCCTATTACTTAATAATCACATTTCTTATAAATATTTAAGGCCAAGATTTGATTTTGATAGCTCTTCCTACAATTATCCTTTGAAGGAAAGCATAAAGAAGACAGGTAAAATACTTTAGTTCCAAGCAAATATTACTAGTTATCCAAATGAAAGCATTTAATAAAATCAAGTAAGCCGCTACTTCCAAATATTTTAGATAGGAAAAGCACATAGATTGCATGCACTTGAGTTTTCCTCAAAATTCTGAAAATTCTATCTGATATGAAATAATTATATTTGTCTATCTAAGGTAAACATTTCTTCATAGAATCATCTAGCCTAAAGGTAATGATATTACAATGTAGGAAGTTCAACTTTGTTGTACAAATACTTTAATTTTCTTTCTCCGCAGTATTTTATGGGTGCAAAGGAAATTATATGTCAAAAGCAATGGAGAGAAAACATTTGAGAAAATGGAAGAAGTGCTGAGACACTGGAGTCTACCCTGAAAGATAAAGCTTCACCTGAGGAGATCTGCAAATTAGTAGCTTTTTGCCAGAAGGCATTCTCCAGTCTATGCAGCTCAAGTAATAGAAGGCTACAGCCTTGGTGGAATGACTTGAGGGAACAGGGGACTGAGTCTAGGACCATCAGATCAGCCAATAAGTATGTGGAAAATAGCAGAGGACAGTGACCACAAAATCTGCATATGAAATTCACCAAAAACCTTTACCACCTCTATTTGTGGCATAAGGGAGACCTCAGAGGATCCTGTAAAAGCATAGAAGCTAGAAACTGAAAAGAATTAAGCAGAAATTTCAGCTGATATCCACTGCAGGAGAAACAGGATTGGGAATTTGTGTCCAGCCATGATATCCACTTGCTAGAAAATATGTTTGAAGGGACATAAAAGAATACAGAATCTCTACAAAATATCATTCAGAACACCCGGTATTCAATCAAAAGTCACTAAAGAAACAGAAAATGGTGACACTTATTTAAAAAACAAAATAAAAAAACAGAGAATGGTCAATAGGAACCAACCCAGAGATGACTCACGTTTTAGAGTTAGCAGACAAGGACTTTAAAATAGCTAATATAAATATGTTCAAGCACTTTGGGGAAAATATATGCATGATGGCTGAAAAGATGGGGGATTTTATATTAAAAAACAGAAAAAATACCAATAGAAAATCTGAAGTTGAACACCACAATAAGTGAAATAAAAAATTCACCTGGAAAACACACATACTTTGCAACTGCAAATGGAACTCTCACGACATACCCTTTTGCTGGGCCATTAAAACAAAACAAAATAATTTAATACAATTTGAAATCATAAAAGATACATTCTCCGGACCACAATCTGTAAACGTGAAGACTAAGTAATACAAGTTATTCAATCTTAAAAACAAAGAGGAAAAAAGATTTAAGAAATATAAACAGAATCTCAGAGATCAGTGAGATATAGCACAAATTTCAATGCATGTGTAACTACAGTACCAAAAGGAGAGGATGAAAAATAGGGTGGGAAATAACAATCTTCCCATTTCACAGACAGTATCAGCTTATAGGTTTGGAAAGCTCAACAAACGTCAAGCAGAATAAACATAAAGAAAGCTAGACCCAGGCACCATGCAGTCAAATTGCTGTAATCAAAAGATAAAAACCACAATCTTGAGTAAAATTCCTGACAGCATTCAGACAAAATCAACACATTATATAGAGAGGACAATGAAATGAATGATTACAAGAGAGGCCAATAAAAATGGAAACCTATAAAGAGCTGGAGGTAGAAGAAGGCAACTGTTAGACAAGAAGAATACAATCACATCAACCACCATTTGAAAACAAAGATGAGACAAATACTTTTAGAAAAGCAAAGACTGAGAAAAATCCATCACTAGTAAACCTGTATTACAAGAAATGTAAAATAAGTTTGTAAGACTGACAGGACACAAAATGGTAATCTGAATCTACAGGAAGAAATGAAGATCCCTAGAAATTGTATATGTATTTATAGATATGTAATATCTATAAATAGATTATATAGATGTTATATATCTATATAATATATAAGAATAGAATATATATTACCTATATATAGATATTGTCTACAAATATATATTATCTATATTTAGCAATAGAATGTTATCTATAATATATACAATATATAATACAGTAGATATATAATATATATTTATTCTAGCCTTCTTTAATTTTTTAAAAGTCTAATACAAAAAACTGAAAGGGCTCTTTAAGAAAAAGTTATAACTCTATTGTGGGGATTATAGGATATGTAGATATAATATATGACAATAGCACAATGGATGAGGGAGTATATGGAACTATATTATTCCAAGGTTTCTAGATCAAATGTGAAACAATACAATATCAATTCTAAATAGATTGTGATAATTTTCAGATATATTCTGTAATCCACTGATCAACTCTGAGAAATACAATGCAAACAAATATAGATAAAAGGTCAATAATAATAAAAAACTAAAAGATTCATGATTATCTCCTCAAAAAAAGGCAAGAAAGGAGTAACAGAGAAACAACAATAAAAACAATAATTTTAAAAAACAGATAAATAGAAAATAAAGAGCAACAAATTGCTCCTAAATCCAATCATAGCAGTATTTACATTAAATGGACAAAACATTCATAAATGGACTAAACACTACATTAAAAGGCATAGATTGTCAGACTTAATAAAAAAGTGACACCAAACTCTTATTGTAAGAGATTCACTTACATGAAAAGACAGAATTAGTTTGAAAGAAAAAAGATAGAAAGCATATACCATGGAAACACTTGTCATAAGAAAGCTGAAGTATTACACAAAACAATCTATAAGATAAGGAAAGGAATATTACCAGAGGTAGAGACGTTTCATAATGCTCAAAACATAATAATAATAAATGTGTATGTGCCTGATAACAAAGTTATAAAATACTGACAGAACTAAAGAGAAGTATAAACAAACCCACAAACATAACTGGATATTTTAATACCCCTAAGTTGGTAACGGGTAAACAAATTGGATGAAAAATCAGTAAGGATAAAGAAGATCTGAATGATATTACCAACCATGTTGACCAAACTTAAATTATACAACATTATATTCAACACCTGGAGAACACATCTACTTTGCAGATGCAAATGAGACTTTCACAAGATACACTAAAGCTGGGCCATTTAGAAATAATAATAATAATTTTTAAAAATTTGAAATCATGTAAGATACATTCTCTAGACTACAACAAAATTAACTTATAATTAACATCAAAAGTATATCTAGAGAAAAAACAAGTATTTGAAAATAAAATAAATCACCATAAAATAACCAACTGGTCAAAAAAGAGATCACAATGATCACTATATATTATATGTATCGAAAAATCACTATGTACCCCATGTACAATTATTATTTTTCAACTAAAAAAATAAATTTTTAAAACAGGAGATCACAAGGGAAGTTAAAATATATATTTAAAGAAATGATAATAAAAATAAAAGGCATCAAAAAATCGGGGCCACTAAAGCAGTACAAAGAAGAAAGTTTACACCTTTCAACAGGTTTAGCAGAAATCACGAAAATCTTAAAAATGAATGAGAAAATTTTCAAATCTAAAGATAAGCAAATTAAACCAAAAGAAAGTAAAAGAGGCCAGGCGCCGTGGCTCACGCCTGTAATCCCAACACCTTGGGAGGCCGAGGTGGGTGGATCACGATGTCAGGAGATCGAGACCATCCTGGCTAACGCGGTGAAACCCCGTCTCTACTAAAAATACAAAAATTAGCCAGGCATGGTGGTGGGTGCCTGTAGTCCCAGCTACTCGGGAGGCTGAAGCAGGAGAATGGAGTGAACCTGGGAGGCAGAGCTTGCAGTGAGCTGGGATTGCACCACTGCACTCCAGCCTGGGCGATAGAACGAGACTCTGTCTCAAAAAAAAAAAAAGAAAGTAAAAGAAATAATACTGAATAATACTGAAATAATACTGAAAATCAATTAAACAAACAATAGAGAAAATTATTAGGTTGGTGCAAAATGATTGCGGTTTTTGTCATTGAAAGTAATGGCCAAAACTGCAATTACTTTTGCACCAACATATGACAAAGCCGAAGTGGTTCTTAAAAACGTTTAATAAAACTAAGCAATGCCTATCAAGATTTAGCACGAAAGACACAAAACACAAATTATATATGTTAGAAATAAAAATGAAATGTCATGATAATCCTAGTCATCAAAAGAATGAGGGACTATCGTGAACAACTCTGTTTATAAACTCAACATATCAGATGAAATGGACAAACTTCTTGATAGACACAATTACCAAACTGGCAAAACAGAAAATGTGAGTACTGAAATACCTATTTAAAAAATCAAATGTAATGCCAAAGATGTCTCCACACAGAAAATTCCAGGCCCAGATAATTGTACTGGTGAATCCTCTCATTTAAGAAAATAATGATACCAAACTTTTATAAAATGAAGAAAAGACACTCCCCAACTCATTTGATACCCAAGCCTGATGGTAACATTATAAGAAAAAAATTACAGACCAATAGACTTCATAAATATAGATGCAAACCTTAACACAATTTTAACAAATCACATCCCACAATAAAATATCACACCATGACTAACCAGAGTTTATCCCGGGAATGCTAGGTTTAACATACGAACATTAATGCCCCAAAATTCATGTTCATCCAGAACCTCAAAATACGACTTTCTTAGGAAATAAGGTGTTTACAGCTTTAAATAGATAAGATGAGGACACACTCAATTAGGGTGGGCCCTAAATCCAATGCCTGGTGTCTTTTTTTAAGAGAAAGAAGAGACACAGACATGCAGAGAAAACACAGGGAAGAAGGCCACATGGGATGAAGGCAGAGAAGGGAATGATGCAGCTACAAGCCAGCTACAAGCCAAGGAATGCCATGGACTGCTGGCAACCACTAGAAAGAAGCTGGAAGAGGCAAGGAAGGATTCTTCCGTGATGCCTTCAGAGGAAAATGGCCCTGCAAACACCTTGATCTTGGACTTCTGACCTCCAGAACTAAGAGAATACATTTCTGTTGTTTTAAGTTAACCAGTTTGTGGCAATTTGTTACAGCAGCTACAAGAAACTAGCACAATATTCAATGGATCAGATAATTTTCTTAAATATAAAGTATTTGCTTGGGTTTCTTCTTCTGGTTTTCAGAACAAATTAAGAAACAGCATGGTGGTGTCAGTTAGGCGTATATCAAATTGTCAGCTTTACTGGTAAAGCTCAACTGCAGAACAAGATTTGAATTGGTAGCCTATTGTGCTTCCTAATACTTCCAGTCTGAATTAGGGGGATTCCCCCATTTAGTCATTGCACAAAAGAGCTCCTCTCAGCACCTTCTGCCTCACCTCCCAGAGAGCAGATCCTTAAGCACCAACACTGCAGACAAGCGATGAGAAAAAGAAAGAAGCTTGGCCAGGTGGCATGCAGTTCCCTAATCTGCCCAAGCAGATTATGGGGAAGAAATGTTCTTCCTGTACTTTTCCCTTCTGAAATGTTCAGAAGGGACAGTTTGCTTCTCATAGTGAAATACAAAGAGAAAAACGAAGTGTTCTCCCTTAATAACAATGCATAGTAAATTCCCTGATGGAAACCTGAAAGGCCACATTTAATGCTATTGGAACATAACCCAAAGAACACAGAAGAGTGCCATGAACATTCAACACACATTTGTTGAGTGAATAAAATCAAATAAATAAAATGACACTGACTATATTGTTCTTAGCCATAAATTACATAATTCAAAGATACATAAATTTAAAAAATTATTAAAGATAAACACTATTATATAGATTCAGAAAAGCAACACTTTTTGACATTTTACTTTCTCTAAAACTGGATAAACTCTACAATCACTGGTGTGTTATAGTTTAATTGGATGCATTTCCTTCTTCCTTAGTGGTATGTAAAATAATGCTACGTCTTACAATTGATGCAGTTTTAGACTCGGTGGAATACAGTGTATTTTTAAAAATTATTTCCTTATCAGTTGCAGAAGAAAGTATGTAAAACACACACACACGCACACAAATTCATTCTCTCCTTCTCTTTTTCATAATCAGATAAAAAAGCATAAATTCAAGAACACAATTCAACAGTTTAGTGGTAGTGCTAACCTCAGGATCAAGGTTTTCAGAGAATGCTTTTTTCTCAGCTTCTAATTGTATGCCATTCGGCGTTGGAAGGGAAGAAGGTGCAGAATGTAACTCCAATTCTTCACTGAGGGCAGTTTCTTTATCTTCTAGTCCATCCTTCTCCTCCATGTGACTTTTCTTTTTCAACATACTCCTTGGCCGAGGTGATGGTTTAAAGTGATCATCTGTGTCAAGGCTGTTGTTTTCTGCTGAAAAATAAAATGCTTAAAGTGTGTGTATAAAAAAATGACCATGGCTTTATCTATCTCTCTGGGTGCTACCATACTTCCCTCCTGTGCCTATGCCCCTTTGTTCTCTGTCCTGAAGAGTCCAGATGAAGCCCACAACTCTTCTCTATACAGAGCTCTAGTAAGGCACAAATAAATGATGGTTAATAATCAGGCCGGACGCGGTGGCTCACGCCTGTGATCCCGACATGTTGGGAGCGGTGACTCACGCCTGTAATCCCAGCACGTTGGGAGGCCGAGGTGGGCAGATCATGAGGTCAGGAGTTCGAGACCAGCCTGGCTAACACGGTGAAACCCTGTCTCTACTAAAAATACAAAAAAATTAGCCGGGCTTAGTAGCGCGTGCCTGTAATCCCAGCTACTCAGGAGACTGAGGCAGGAGGATTGCTTGAACCCAGGAGTCTGAGGTTGCAGTGAGCCGAGATCGAGATCACACCACTGCACTCCAGCCTGGGTAATAAGAGCAAAAATCCATCTAAAAAAAAAAAAAAAACCAAACAACAACAACAACAAAAAAAAAACAAAGTAAAGAAACAGTTGTCATCCTGAAAGTAACCAGTCACAAGAAGTTAACTCTTCAACATTGTGAACTCTTATAATATTAAAAAAAAAATGTTAAAAATAAAAAAACAAAACAAAATCTTGCCCCAGTTTCTACCACTATAAAATGAGGAGGCTCATCCATCAAGCCTTTGAGTACCAAGCCCTGTACACGTTACTAAACCTCATAATCAACAAAGCGGCAATGGACCTGTCCAGGTACTTTACAGGTTGATTTTTCTAAACAAAATTACAAGACTAGATTACTAAGATTATAAGTGCTATTATAAGGACAAAGATGATGATGTTGGCACTCAAGGGATAGGAGTGCTAACT
Organism: Homo sapiens; assembly: GCF_000001405.40. NCBI lineage: Eukaryota > Metazoa > Chordata > Mammalia > Primates > Hominidae > Homo > Homo sapiens. The sequence goes on from NC_000004.12 coordinate 155,369,728, forward strand.
CTCATTAGAGGAAGGAATCTTTTATGAGTTAATTGTTCTGAGTCCATAAAACTTCTTTAGCATTTATTAAAATTTCACTCTTTCCATTACTTCTAAGTTTAAATCAAGAATCAAATGCTGATTTGCATCCAGTATTCGAAACAATGGGAAGACTTTCCATGTATATATTTTTTGCCTGCATTTTACCTGCTATACATATTTATGTTTCTATTGTTCTACAAATGCATTTTTCTCAACTTCAAAATTGGTCTAATTAACATCTTCCTCCCATTTACCTAAAAATGGGCTTATGGATTCTGCCAGAAGATTCCACAACCATACCAAATTGGTATTATTATAAGTAGCTGACAATTTTAGCTACATCCTAAACTCCAGCCAAATGTTCAACCCCAAATCCAAGGGCTCTAGATTCCTCCCTCTATTATCCCCTAAATCCAGAGTATCAATATATCCTATCAATTCTAATTGCCAAATATCTCATTTATTCCACTTTCTACATCCCTGCTGTCGGGTCCTTATCCACTCTTTCCTAGATCACTGCTTCCATGATATTTACAAAATCCAAATCAGATCACATCACTCCTTTCTACAAAATTATTCAATGGCTCCCCATGATCCAATCCTACAGAATAAAAGCTTAACTGCCTTTAAACAACATAAAACGGATTTTATGGTTTTGTCCTTCACTGCCTTATCTACAGCCATTTTGTCATCTGTGTTTCTGAAATGCTGGGCTAACAGTTGTCATGCACACATACCACAATCCCTCCAATCCCTCCTGCTACCATACCTTTACCTAAGCTGATCCCCCTGCCTAGAATATCCACTTCCTGCTTCTCCTCCTGACAAATGCTTGCATGTCTTTTGAGCCTCAGTTTAAGCAGAATATTATATAATGCCTGAAAGAAGGTGTTGAGTCAATTTTTTTTATTATTGTGGTAAGAACAAACATGAGATCTACCTTCTTAATACATTCAGTGCAAAAGACAGTACTGTTAACTATAGGCACAATGTACAGCAGATCTCTAGAACTTACGCATCCCGCATGACTGATACTTTATACCTGCTGAGCATGTTTATAAACAAACGCTAAATAATAAAATGAATAATCAGAACATTTATAGAGTGCTAAATTTATGCCAGTACTATTCTAAGCACTTCAAATATGTGAACTCATTTAATTGCCTCAAACTCCTAGAGGCAGGCAACTATTATCCCGTTTTTAAAGATGAATAAAATGAGAACAAAGAGGTCTCATGCCCAAAGTCACAAACTCTAGCAGGCTGCAGATCTCAGATTAAAGGAGAAGCATCCTGACTCCAAAGTTCATGATTTCAGTCATGTTAGTATTAAAATAAAAACATATCCTGTGAAAAATACTTTCACTTTATAGAGCAACTGTCACTTCAGTAGTGACTATAAAGTCTGGTTATTATACTTTTTACAAAAGACAAGCAAGGACAGAGAAAACCTTCAAGCTCTAATAGTTTCATAAAGCATTACTTGCTACTCAGCAATATCTCACCACATTAAAAACATTGAGTTCCAAACCTGTACAGAAAAAAAAAAAGTCAAAGAATTTAGAGGATAAACTCATGAACCATATTCCCTCTTTCAAAGATAAATCATTCATATATTAATTTATTCATTTAAATACTTATTATATATGCCAGATATTATCTTAGGAACACTAGCCTCAATTTTTACTTTTCAACCTGAAGAACCTGAGAATGACAACTTTAATATATTTTCTACAAAAATTCCACTTCCAGAAGTACTGTCAAGTTCCCAAAAAGAAAAAAAAATGCCTATACTTTAAGAAAAGCGCTTTTTTTGGTAATCAATGTATACAATTACCTATTTAGGTAATTATTTTTATATTACACGTACTGAATATAACATTGCATATATAAGTAGAGCATTTAGGATCCTGATGCCACCTTGTGGTTAAAATACAGTATTTTCTTATTCATTGTAACCCACCACAGGTTTTTTTTTTTTTTAAGGTATGAAATAGGTGGATTATTGCTTTCCTGATTATCTACCATAAACTTCTAATTATATACATCCACCTGTCTCAGACAAATTTTTAGTTGCTATATATGCTCGCATTTTCTTAATAACGAAGTTCAATTATGTTCCTCTTCTCTCCAGCATTGATTTCACTCACTATACTTAGAAGGTACATTTTAACAAGTTAATTGTTTCATTATGCATCTGTTTGCATTTTTGTAGTTTTTTATAGTTTATGAGATGCACTTCAATAAACTCTCACAATTTTGCAGGAATAGAAAGAGGGTTATTTTTAGCTTCCTCATCATGAGGATACTGAAGCTTAACTTATTTGCTGAAGTCATATATAATATACAGAGGCCTTTCCCCCAGTGTCCTGGATATTATTCTAGTGTTCTTTGCTCTGCTTACATCCTTTGCTCATTTCAAAGTTAATGAGATTGTGGGGTCAGGAAGAAAGGAGCAGTTCCCCAATACATGCCTGAAATAAAGTTTTGTCTGACGTTACCACTGGTATCTAATATGCAAAGTATGAAATATTTACCAGCACTGTATTTACTGATGATATGCAAGGAGATTTTTATGAAGGTTAACATCAACTAATAATTCCTTTATAAAATACAAAGAATGAAAAACAAAAAATCCTTAACCTTGCATATACAAGTTCATGAATGGTGGCCCAGGGTATGTGACAGGACTTGGTCTCCGTTTCATTCTATCTTTGTTCCTTTATGCTTAAAATTCAGTAAAATTGTGGGCAGAACTAACTGTAATCCCAGATCACACCAGGAACTTTCCTTTGGAAAACTGAATCTTAGTAGATTTTCATAGGCAATACAGAGATCAAATGGAGATTCTCTTAAGGAGTGCCTGGATGCTTCAACAAACAACAGCAGCAATAACATAACTCATCCTTCAAATATACAAATGTCAAGAAAATTTTCTGGCACAATGTTGGTATGGCAAAGACTGTTAGAAGGATTAGTCTCAATATTGCTGTAACTCTAATCTTTGGAGTGTGAGAGGGATTAGACAGCATTCCATTCCAGTTCCACACCTACAAACAAAACTGAAGCTCACAGGTCTAGGTGTCTGGAGATCCACAGCTATGGATGCTATGGATGACTAAAGGTGCTTTGGCTTTGTGCTTTGGCTTTCTATCAGGCAACAGCCTAGATGCAAGACAAAATACAACAGGTCTGTAAAATTGAAGTTAGACAAAATACAACAGGTCTGTAAAATTGAAGTTAGACAAAATACAACAGGTCTGTAAAATGGAAGTTAAGTCTGTCTTTTTTTCTTAAATATATACTAGCTACCATATAAAAATTTTGGGACTGATTATCTTAAAATAAACTTCCAAGAAATGCAATTACAGTAATCCTAACAAATTACCTGAAGATGTGCTTTTAATTGAAAGAATTCTGGGTTTAGGTTTCATTTTTATTTTGTCTTTTTCAAATTCCTCATCCTTATTTTGAGATTCAGAGAAAGATTTTACAACAATGTCTTCACACCCATCAGGTGCCATTTCCTCTTCATTTTTGATGGCACACACTGGCTCATCTTTGGTTATGTTACCGTTTGATTTATTGGTTTTCAAAAACAATAGTTTTGAAGGATTCTTTTCTTCATCATCTGATATATGAAAGTCATTCATTTTTTTATTAACTGAATTTTCATCTGCTGAAGTGTCAGAAAAATCACCTAAAGAAACTGAAAAATGGAAAAGAAAAATGTTTTCAACAGTATTTTTAAAAATTGTCAAGGTTACGTTAACTTAATCAAAGTTTACCTTAAAAGCTACAAACAAAATTCTAACAATGAATAGGCACAAATGTATTTTATAAATAGACTTGCAGCTCTAAAAACACAGCTAACTCAGGCACGTCTCATTAACATTTATGAAATAAAAATTCCAATTTCATTAATTTATTCAAAATGTATTTATTGTGTTGTCTGTAGGGTACCAAACAACCAAACACTGTTTGCTCTGGAAAAAGCCATCCAAAGGTCCCTAACAATCAGTCATGTAGCATTTAAATTAGATTATGGACTGTAAAACTTTTATTTGCAAATTACTTCTTCATGTAAAATCAAGAACATTTGTAAATGGAAGAATTTAATTAGTAATTACTAATTATATTTTTTCCATAAAAATTTTGGAACTACAATTCCATCCACACCAGAATATTAGATTTACTAAGAATCATAAGAAATGCTAAGTTAACTATACAGCAGTGATTTAACTGTGGTTATTACTGGTTTTACAGAAATCAATTACAATTATTCACCAAATTTTAAAGAATAAAACACCAGGCCGGGTGCGGTGGCTCACACCTATAATCCCAGCACTTTGGGAGGCTGAGGCGGGCGGATCACAAGGTCAGGAGTTCGAGACCAGCCTGGCCGATGTGGTGAAACCCCATCTCTACTAAAAATACAAAAATTAGCCGGGCATGGTGGCGGGCACCTGTAGTCCCAGCTACTCAGGAGGCTGAAGGAGGAGAATCACTTGAACCTGGGAGGTGGAGGTTGCAGTGAGCCGAGATTGCACCACTGCACTCCAGCTTGAGCAACTGAGCGAGACTCCATCTCAAAAACAAAAACAAACAAACAAAAACACCAAGTTTAGAATTCTGTATGCTTATACCTGAAACTAAAATGTTAATATGTTTACATAGCTAAGAGAAACCAAATTATAATAGTACTGATATATGAAACACGAAGAGTCTGTGGTTTTTAAATTTACCCCTTATCACAGCCAAAAAAAATCTGATTTATAGCAAGCTTTATAAAAGCACTTCTAATGTGCACCGAAGTTTAGTTCTGTGGGACTAGTTACTAACTAGCTGTAGCACCTCCTAGGGTTGATCTTAAAGATGAACCTGTCTTCTTCAATGTGGTTTACCACTGGCAGCCATCCTTTTACTGCAAACCTGCCATCAATTAATTTATATTTTCGTATACACATTCAGAAAACAAAACAACAATAAAAAAAGAAAATCATACAACTTCCTGAAAATTAAGAGTGGCTTTCTACTAATTAAAAAGTTGAAAATCTAAAATTAGTGAATGCTTAGGTATTATTTTAACATACGTGATTGAGGGGATGGGTGGTTGGGGGGCTGGCTAAATACAAAACTAAGGAAGCAAAAAGAAGAAAAGTGGTTCACGTTTCCATACTGTCACATACCAATCTCATCACTGTCAAAGTCATCTGAGTATTCAGAACTCCTTTGTCTGGCTGAGCGAGCTGTAATTGCTCTTATTAGCTCATCCTGAAATGAGATACTGAAATCAATTTCCATCCAAACATGGAGGTATCATATTCACAAGTAATTCTTTAAACAAACAATGCTTGATTAACGACTGCTTTCAAACTTAGGTTTCATTCATCTAACAAATATTTCCTGCAAGCTCACTTTATGCCATGTACCCACTTTACGCCTCATACTCAATGCAGAGCATCACAGACAAGAGCCCTTCCTCATGGAGCTCGCAGTTTAACTAGAGGAGACACACATTATGGAACAAATTAATTGCAGGTTATAATTAGAGCTGGAGGGTAACAAATAAGAAGGGGCTCAATTTAGATTATAATTTATTAAAAACTGGTATTTTGAAAGAAATTGGTATTTTTAAGAGCTTTTGTCTCGGCATATTTCAGAAATGGATGCAATCAATATTGCAAACTTAGAGGCTGAGTTCAAAATTGCAGTGACTCAACAGAAAAAAAAACTTAAACATTATGTTACAACAGAAAAAAAAGTTTTTATATAAAAATGGCAATTTAAGGTTGCGATTCAACTTTTAACTTAGTAGGAAACTAGTATTGAGGCTACTTTGGTAGTCTTAAAACCATATAGGGGAGTTTGTAATACTGGATGGAGCCCAAACATGATCATGTGCAAAACCTCAAAAGTAATATAAGATTTACCCCTGCTTTATATAGGACTGTTCTAGAATCACCAATTTCAACCCATCTAATACAGTGTTTACACTGTGAAATGATTCCAAATAAAAATACTTTACCTGGAAAGTAGTTCTTTTGGTAACTTTTGGACTCTTTGTATATGCCAAAGTGGTGCTAAAAACTTCATCAGACATAGTGTATTTTTTCTCGTTACCTTTATAAAATAGCTAATTATTAGAATTCAACTTCTGATAGTAGCTGAAATATACAAAACAAATCAGACTTCGCATGCTTCAGAATTTATTTTATTACATTTGATTCTACTCTCCCCACAAAGGTCAAAGAAAAGCATCTGATATGAACATTGGGCTACATCTTCACTTAAAAAGGTTCTTGTAAAGAAATAGCAAATTCTCATAACAAGCTTGTTTAAAAAAATTCAAATGGAAGTTATCCTAAAATAGTTTTGCAACTACTTAAAAAGTCTGCAAATAAATGATTACAAGTTAATACGACAAAATGCTGCCAATTAAAATAGAACACCTTATTTTTCACCTCTCTTCTAAAGTATAACATTGCCTTCAAAATAAGTCACGTCTTATTTAAAAGGCCATCAAAAGGATCGTCGGCGTAAAAATTATGAGCACCACCACCAAAAAAAAAATGTATCTATATATTTGCATACAGCGCTATTCAAAGAAAAAGATCGTAATGCTAACCCGCAAACAGCCAGCGAGATGTATTGCAAGCCAATTTTTCCTCTCACAAAAGTGTTAAAGAGAGCCAGACAAAACGACGAAGCTTTCGCGATGAGCCGCATTAAAATCGCGGTTTCCCGTACTCGGAGCAGAGGCCTGGCAGGGCCGCCCATAGCGTTGTGCGCCCCGGGTTCCGTTCCCTACCAGGCCAGGTGACGTCCGGGTGCTCGCCGCTCCTCACCGCGCCGTATGCTGAGCACCAGCGAACGCCAGGCCCGTGCACGTCCAAGCGCGGTCTCTGTCCGGATCCCCCATGGCCCCCAGGTCCCGCTTTCTGTTCCCGGCCCCGGACGCCCGCGGCCAGTTCTCCGCGACCCTGAGAATCAAGAGCCAAGCATCGGGTAGGAGCTGCTCACCTTGGTCTGGGCCTGGCGGCGCCCGCAGAGCCGGTCCTGGACCGAGCGAGGAGGAGGGGCTAATAACAGAGGCGGAGGGCGGTTGCTAGGAAACAGCGTCTTCGGGAGGAAGTGACTTCCCCACCGCCGGGTCTCTCGGGTACCCAACACCGCTCTTCGGCCCAACGTGTCGCTGGGGCAACCACCCAGACGAAGGAAGTGACATCACCTTCCTGGGTCTTTGGAGAGGGGCTCATTATTGGTCGCTTGTGTGCATGTGCTGTTGCCTAGGAGACAGGACCCGCCCAACTCCCACCCAGATAGCCTTACTCTTGCCAATAGAGTAAGGGTCCTTATCTGCACGTGTTGCAAATAAAGCACATTCGTCGTTTTGCCACAGTTAGGACGTGAAGTTCTCTGAATCGAAGTACGGTGTCAGTGGATGGGACAGAATAGTACGGTAGTGAGTTTGCAGAACCCTGTTTCCGACTGCAGGTTTGAATCCTGGTACCCCTTTCCTACACACGTGATTGTCCCAAGTTAAGGTCTTTATGACTCAGTTTCTTCTTCTGGGGGAAAACAAAAGTGTACTAATAATAGACACCTGAAAGGTTGCTGTAAAATTGAATGAAATAATACAAGTGGAACACTTGGAAGAGTGCCTGGAATTGTATTCGATATTAGATATGCTCTTCATGCAACTAAGCCGCAAAGGGCCTGGAGAGACCTCAGCTCTTGTGGACACAACTGAAAGCCCATTTGACATCTTACTTGAATGTAAAACTCCCCCTCTTTGTATACTTAGTGAGTAATCTTATTCCAATCAAACCAAACAAAATGATCCACTAGGCTAAAAGAGCATGTGCTACTAAAGTAAACAAAATCAACATCATTTAATTCGCATAGGAAATTCTTAAAGCAAATAAAAACCAAAAACGTTTATTGAAAGTCTTTAAAATAATATGAATTTTTACTATTTTTAATTTTTAAAAAGCTTAATCCTAGTTGAATTATCTGAATGAATTCATTGACTAGTAATTAAACTCATACCTGGTATTTTTTCCACATCTCTAAAATATGTTAATATTTCACTAATTCAATTTTGTATAAACAAATCACATTGAGATAGAAATTTAATAAATCAATGTATTGAAAAACTAAATGTGCATAACAAGAAATAAGAAATTTAGTAAAATACAATGCTGTATTAATCAGGGTTCTCTAGATGGACAGAACTAATAGTATATATATATTATATTATATATATTATATAATATATTATATATATAATATATATTATATAATATATTATATATATATGTCCACTCATCTGTATCCATTTATGAAGCTGAAAATGTACACCACCTCTACACACACATACCCAGAATAGAAAATGCTCCCTATTTTCTATTAACTCATGGCACTACTGTTGAACCCTTCCAGGTTCACCTCATGCTCCTGGAACCTCCTTTCCACTGTAAAACATTCTCTCACTTTTTCCTCTATAATCGCATTCTTATCTTAGCTAAGCAAAACTATTTTCTGAATAAACTATCTCCCTGAGGGCTTTTCAAATAGGGACTGCTGTAGAAGGAAGATTTCTAAGTTCTCCTAGGTCCTCACATACTCAGTGACTGCTCTCCTATTACTCCAAACCCTTCCTCCTCACAAGCCAATATTCTATGTTCTATTTCTCAGTTTCTGTCATCAATAGATATATAGGCCCTTCTCCCACATTCACTGAATATCTACAGCCAACCTATCCAATACCTGAGATCACACCAAGGTATGGTGTGGCCATGTTCCATTCAATAGAATTCTTTGCTCAATACTCCAAGACTTTCACTTGTCCATACCCCTAATTGTGGGGCTCCGTACTGGAAGTCTTAAACTGTAATACTCCACTCCAAAAGGCCCATGGCTTCCTTTTTTAGTTATTCTTCTCTTGTTATTTCTATTTAGGAACTCATCAAGACATCTAGACTCTTTTTTTTTTTTTTTACTTTTTCTTTCTTTCTTTTTTTTTTAATGCATGTATCTCATCTAAGATGTCCAGACTCTTGAGCTTTTCACATCTTCCCCCAATTTATCAGTTGCTCTCTTTGCTTCCTGCTTCCCTTTCCTAGCTAGCCCAAGTCCCACAATGTAGCTTATGGAGTTCTTTCTTCAGCACTTTCAACTTTCTCACTTCATCATTCCTCTGGGACACAAAACTTGTCCATTGATCATCCAAATTCTTTGACCCAACGTATTTCAGAGTAATAGTGCATCAATCCCAGCTTACAATTTTATTTTATTTTTAGAGACAGGATCTCACTTTTTTTGCCCACTACTGGGCTCAAGCGATCCTCCTGCCTCCATCTCCCCAAGTGCTGGGATTACAGCCATGAGCCACCATGCCCGGCCCCAGCTCGCAACTTTCTGTGTGACCTCAGGTATGTTACTTAGACACTCCTAACCCCAGTTTGTGCATTCATAGGTTGGGATAATACCAACCCCTTCCAGTGCCATTTTAAAGATTTCATACAATACTTTGCACAAATACATATGATAAAATTATTTCCCCACTCAGGACAGTGCCCAGTAGAGCTGGTGAGTCAGTAACTGTGGTTCCCCCGCTTTCCCTCTCCTTACCAAGCTCACCTTCCACCTTCCCTCTAATTCCCGTCCCTATTCTCTTTCATGTGTTTACGTGCCTGTCTCTTCCACTAGAATCAGTTTCTTAACAGCAGCAGTTTCTCAAAATTGACAGTTTGAGCAGAATCATTCTTTGCTGTGGGGGCTGTCCTGTGCATAGTAGAATGGTCAGCAGCATCCCACTCTCCACCCCACTAGATGCCAGTAGCACCCTCCAAGCTGTGACAATCAAAAATATCTCTAGACATTGTCAAATATCCTCTGAAGGACAAAATCACCTCAATTGAAAACCACCGCACTAGAGTAATGGCTATCAAACTTTTTTGAACAAGACCTACAATAAGAAACATTTTGTACATGTATATACACACACAGTATGTGAAATAACTTCATCAAATCATTCTTTCCCTTACGGTGTCCCACTCTGATATGTTCTATTCTGTTTAAAAAACAATGACTAGACTGAGCCTCAACAAGAATAGTAATCTTATCTGTTTCATCTTTACACTCACAGTACCTAGGCAAATTTTGTGGCACACAAGAGGAACACAAATACTTGTTAAATTGCAATGAATAATCATTTCTGGTAGTCAATAAAGAGTTTTAGTTAACAGAAGAAAAACAAAAATTCAATTTGTTTTCTGGTTGTGCCGTGTTCAAAATTGAACACCACCCTTGGCAGCTTCCAGGAGAAAAAGTTCTTCGCCTTTGCTCTAAAATATTCTGTAGCCTAATCAATGTGAGCAAAAGGCAAAAATCTACTAAGGTATAAAATGTTTTTATATACTACATATATAATGTAGTATATATGTATACTGATTATACATATATGATGTATACATAGTATATATGTATACTGTACATATGTACATAGTATATATGTACACTGATTATATATATACTACATATGTAATGTAGTATATATGTATACATATATATGTATATATGATTATATATGTGTATATATATGTATATATAATCATATATATATACAACATATAATCATTTTATGATTATATACTACATAGATAATCATGTGTGCACTAGGCAGTGACCTAAAATGCCAATGACTATGGCCAAATTACTGACAGATACAAGCCTGTGACTTAAGCCAGCCACTCAGAAGAAATAAGCCTCCCTTTCCTTGGAGACATTTTCTAAAACTATAAAAATAAAAGGCAGAAATTAGTACATATTCATGTAACAACTACCCCCCTCCCTAAAATAACTTCTGTTGTATAAAACCCAAAGATTAAAAACTACAACATTGGATAGAAAAGCTGAGTCTTTCAATAAAAAGAGGAATGGGACAAATAAACTCAACATTTTTTTAAAAAAACACTCATCATTTTTCCTGAAAGTACAATAGTTCCTCCTTATCCAAGAGGGATCCATTTGGAGACCCCCCCAGTGCATGTGCTGAAACCATGGATAATACCAAATCCCATATATACTATGTTTTGTCCTATGCATACATACCCATGGTAAAGTTGAATTTATAAACTAGGCTCAGTAAAAGATAAATAACAGAATAATTATAACATACTGTAATAAAAGTTATATGAATGTAGCTCTTTTTCTCTCAAAATATCTTATTGTACCGTACCATAGGTAACTCACACTGTGGATAAAGGGGGACTACTGTACAACAATCTCACCATTTGCCAATATTCCCGAACCGGTTTTAGCTTTTCTCCTCCTCCCTTGTTTGTTTCTTTTGGTTCAATGCTGCTGATTATTCTCTAAGAGGCTCTTCTAGCTCCAATCACATTCTTATATCAACAGATAGGAGGTTCTTCAACTGACAGCTACACATCCACCCCTGCTACTTTCTTCATTGCCTCCACAGTTTCTATAAGGAAAAGGCAAAATCTTCATACCTGCAGAATTAGCGCCACATAGATGCTGCCAAAGGGTTTTCTGCCTGTGCCCTCTGGAGAGGTGACATCACATCCCCCACTGCACCAGGGCCCATTGAGCAACACTTGGAGCAACCAAGGGGTGCCACACCAGAATGTGGGGACCAGTGACTTCAGGGATTGCTGGGAAGCAAGCCCCAAGGTCCCCAGGGCACCCTAGGGCCTTCCTTGGAAACTGTACTGCCCTCAATGCTCTGGCAACATGGTCCTGTGATGAGAGTGCAGCCCAAGCAATTTACAAAACACCTTCCGGGTTGCTCTTTCATTGTCCTGGTGAAGAGTACAGTCCTGATCCATGTCTCCTGATTCACAACCTTTGTGTTCTCTCCCACACTTTATTTGTTAAAATATGGACAGGCTGAGAAGAATAAAAATTTCCCAAATCTTTAAGTTCTGCTTCCCTTTTGATAACTTCTGTCTCTAAATCATTCCTCTTTTCTTTCATTTTCCCATACACATTCAAGAGAATCAAGCTGCTCCTTCAATACTTTGCTTAGATATTTCTTCTAGCAAATTTCAGTCTCATTATTCATAAGTTCTGCCTTCCAGAAAACACTTGGGCATGAACACAATGCAGTCAAGTTCTTTGTCACTTTGTGACAAATGTCGCCTTTCCTCCAGTTTCCAATAACATGTTCTTCATTTCCATCTGAGACTTATCAGAATGACCTTTCTTTTCCATATTCTTTTTTTTCTTAAGAGACTGGGTCTCCCCTATGTTGGCCAGGTTGGTCTTGAACTCTTGGCCTCAAGCAATCCTCCTGCCTCAGCCTCCCAAAGTGCTAAGATTCCAGGCATGAGCCACCACACCCAGCCCCCTCCATATTCTACAAACATTCTATCCAGCTCTCCTCATCTGAGCTCTCACCAGAATCACCCTTAATGAAGAGTCACAAGGAGAAGACAGCCACCCACACCTCAGGAGACAGGCCTGGAAAAAAGCCTTCCTGCACCGCCCTCAGAAGGGACCCGCTTGCTGACAACTTGATCTTAGACTCATGGCCTCCAGTAATGTGAGACAGTAAGATTCAGTTGTTGAAGGTGCCTAGTCTGTGGCCAGTCTGTAAGACAGCCCTAGCAAACTAACACAGCCTGTTAGCCCACGGATGGTGAAAAGATGGAGTGCGCAATGGAGCTCCAGGCTTACTGTCTGCAGTTCCCAAAGTGTGCTATGGGACCCTTTGGTGGATGTAGGTATGAAAGATAATTTTGGGTGGTGCAGGGTGAATAATTTCAGTTTACATAATAATGTAAGTTCACAAGCTTCCTGGGGAACCTAGTGACATGAAGGCACTGCAGAGCCTCCCCAGAAGAGGTGTCAGCTTTTGGTGGATCCTTGAGCCCAGGAAGGCAATAGGCGAGACATCACCGTTCACCAGAAAACACGATCAAAATCCATTGAGGAAGGGCAGCAGTCAAAGGTTTTATTCTCTAGAAGGAACTCTCAAGAACTGCAAGCAGCAGGCAGAAGACTTCCTTGCATGTGTGGTTAGGCGATGGTGACCTACGGTTTTCACTGCGAACTGGGATCGAGTGACCCGACCTCCTACTCATGCACCTCTCTCCCTGTCTCTCTCTGCCTTTTAGTCTCTCTTCCTATTTCTCTCCCTACTCTTCCTCTCAGGCTCCTCTGTCTCTCTCCCCATCTCTCTTCCTCTCTCTCTATCTCACTCCCTTCTCCCCATCTCTTTCTGTCTCCTTCTTCTCCACTTCTGTCTCCCTCCTCCTCTCCCTCTCTGCAGCTGTTCAGGCAGGACTCCTAGGCCACCTTTCAGGGTACCTGCAGGGCAGCAGGACCTTGGCCCCCATCTCCCAGCACCCTCAAGGTCAGGGGTGTGCGCCTTTCCATGCTCTCCTGGGTGGGCACCCCACACTCCAGGAAGCAGAAGCTGCAGGTCACTGCTGACTCGAGTGGCACACCGACGGGGTGCTTCCACTTGTAATTGTGACTTCCATCTTGTGATCTGCTGAGGTCAAAGCAGAGGACACATGCTCAGGCCGGACCCTGCACCAGGGTGGGGGTAGGGGTGGGTTCGGGGGTAGAGGCGGGGATGGCAGCAACCACTGCAAACTGTCCCCTGGCCGGCTTCCTGTCCTTCACCTGCCATGCAAGGCCCCCTCTCCCGCCCCTCCCCCCGCCTCCCACCACCTCCACCCCTAGGCAGCCCCAGACCCCGGCTCCAGAATTCCCCCTGGATCCAGGAACTAAGAGCAACCCATGGGCTCTGCAGCCCCTAGGCCAGGTGTCAGCTGCCCCTGCTGCATGCTGAAAAACCTTGGCTCTCACTTATGCCCCGACCCAAGCCAGCCACACACCCCCAGCGTAACCACCTTCTCCTGACTTTAGCCCTGACATCCCTGCTTTCTAGTAATCCCCAGCTCCAGGCAAGCCCGAAGGCCAGCACCCTACACTCACCCTTCCTGGGTGCCACTCTTGTCTGCTTGCCAAGATGTCTTGATCTGGCTTTATCAGCATAGAACAAATAAAGGGCCTCTCCCAGGAAGGTTTGGCAAAACACTCTCCATTTAGAAGCAGGGGCAGTGACAAGACCTAGGGATGACCCGAGGTTTGCCACTCAAGCAGCAAGAAGGGCAAGGAGCCAGTTTCATGTCCTCATCCTGGAAGGATGGCCAGGGCTCCACAGGGTCCTGTGGGGGGCTGGCAGGAGCAGATCTGCCCTCCTCTTGAGGAAGCAGGCCACCACCACCAGGAAGCAACAGATGGTAGCGTACAGGTAGAGCCCCCACGTGCTGTAGAGCAGGGCCAGCAGATCTGCACTCAGCCCAGCCCCAGGGGAGCTGCAAGACAGACTGAGACCCCGATAGGTTTGGCTCTGTGTCCTGACCCAAATCCCATCTTGAATTGTAATCCTCATGTGTCAAGGGAGGAACCTAGTGGGAGGTGATTGGATTTGGAGGCAGTTTCCCCCATGCTGTCCCCCTGATAGTGAGTGAGTTCTCAGGAGAGCTGATGGTGTTAAAATGTGGCACTTTCTCATTTTCCACTCACTGCCTCCTGCCGCCTTGTGAAGAAGGTGCTTCCTCTTCACCTTCTGCCATGAATGTAAATTTCCTGACTTGTGAGTCAATTAAACCTCTTTCCTTTATAAATTACCCAGTCTCAGGCATTTCTTTATAGCAGTGTGAAAACAAACTAATACAGACCCCTTCTCTGAAGTGTCTTCTCCTTGGGCCATCAGCTGCCCCCATGCTCTTCCTCTGCCCCATGGTCTTCCTTTTCCCCTCATTCGGCCCAAGTGCTCCACATGGCCAGCCCCAGCCCCATCCTACTGCAGGCCTGTCTGGCTGGTGGAGAGGCTGGGCTCCTTTCCTGACCCCAAGGATGGCTGACATGCTCTTTGGATCTTGGAGGAAACTGACCTCCCACCCTCATACTGGTAGCAACTTCTTCCAAGACCCCAAAGCTGGACCATATGAGCTAGTCTTTTTTGTTGTCTTTGCTTGCTAGGGCTGTCATTGGGACAGGCCTTGCCCAGGAAGCCCATGTGGACCGCGACACCAGGCCCTGCCCAGACCCATCATGACTAAGAGGGAGGTCGGGAGATACCCCCGCTGCAACATGGGCACCTGCATCTGGCCCCGTTGGTGGCCAGTGACTGGCATGCCTGGAAGGAGCCAGGGTAGCACCCCACCAGCTGCCCCGCAGCCCCAGACACCTTGGAAAATCCTGTTCAATGGGAAGCTGGTTTCATTAAGGCCATGAGAGAGAAAGGTGAGCATGGTATCCCTGCAGCCCCGGCCAGCCAGCAGCATGCCCTGGGGCCTCTGTCCCAAACTGTGCCCCTCTCTTCCCAGGGCCTAGACCCCGGCCCTGGGAAGAGAGGGGCACTAGGGGTGTGGTGGGCTCCCAGCTGCAGTCAGCATGACCATGCAGGGGACCCTGGCACTGTGGAGCTCTGTCATTGTCACAGTTCACCTCGCAGAAGCTGGGTGAGATCCTGAAGCCTTGCAGCCACTGCTATAGCCACAGCAGGGGCTGAGATTGGCTTTCACTGCACTGAGCCACAATGTGGACATGGACTAGCTCGCCCTACAGTGCACACAGCACTGCTTCCAACCAGGGCACCCCGTTCACAGCTAGGGACGTGCAGCAGTGTGCTCCCACCTTGAAGCCTTGGCTCTGCCACCTCTACTTGGAATGTTCTCAGTTCCTTCCAGGCTTCTAGAACCATCTGGGCCAGGGCTTATGGTTGGATAAGCACCCGAGGTCCCACAACCCAAACAAGCTTCCGATCCTCGTTTTATTTTTTGTTAAACTTATGAAAATTTATTAAGATATGACTTACATCCCTGCATGTAAGTGTTCAGCTCAAAAGTCATTCAAAGATAGAACACACCAGCCCCCAGATCACAAAGCCAACCATGCCCAGCCCCTCCCAGTGCCCCTAGTCCTGCAACCAGTGTTCTGAATTCTGACAGCATTGTGAGCCTGCCTTTTGTACTTTACACTCATGGAAGTATAACCACCTTCCTGTTTTAAAATAAATGTTTACTTTTGAAATGATTTTAGAAATACACCTTCCATCCAGCTGCCCCTAATAATGACATTTTGCATTACCATGGCACATTTGTCAAAACTAAGAAATTTAGGCTGGGTGTGGTGGCTTGCACTTGTAATCTCAGCAATTTGAGAGGTAGAGGCGGGAAGCTCAGGTTTGCTTAAACCCAGGAGTTTGAGACTCGCCTTGGCAATATGGATAGACCCTGTCTCTAGAGAAAAGTAAAAGAAATTAGCTAGGCATGGTGGCATGTGCCTATAGTCCCATCTAGTCAGGAGGCTGAGTGGGAGCATTGCTTGATCCCAAGAGTTCCAGGAAGCAGTGAGCTATGATCACACCACTGCACTCCAGCCTGGGTGACAGAGTGAGACTTTGTCTCTTTTAAAAAATTAAGAAACTTAACATGGGTGCAATCCTATTGACTACATGATAGTGTGAACTATTATCTAAGGTTATTAATGCAGTAATTATGTTAATATGGTGAAATTTTTTCAGATTTCATCCGTTTTTGCCCAACTTCCCATACCTGTTCCGGGATCCCACCTCGGACTCACCCTCTGCCTTTAGGTCATTTCTCCTTAGCTTCCTCCAGAGAGTACAGCCAGACACACACCTGGGCTGAATGGTAGAGCTGATTGCTCCTGGGCTCCAAACCTCTGCAGCATGTTACCATACTGAGAACTGTAGAAAATCGTAACACAATAGTGGCTATTTGTGTATCTAAACACAAAAGGCACATAAAAATACAGTATAAACACTAAAAACTGGTACACCTGGCCAGTTGTGGTGGTTCATGCCTATAATCCCGGTACTTTGGGAGGCCAAGTTAGGAGGATCACTTGAGCCCAGGATTTCTAGACTAGCCTGGACAACATAAAGAGACCCCATCTCTTTTTAAATATCAATTTTTGGCAATGGTACACCTGTATAGGGCAGCTCCATTATAATCTTATGGGATTATAAGCACCATCCTATATACATTCTGGCATGGACTGAAATGTATTATCTGACACATGATTGCATAAGTAGTCTAGAGATGATTTAAAATATACTAGAAGATATACTTAGGTTATATGCAAATACTGCACCATTTTATATCAGGACTTGAGCATCTGTGGATTTTGGTATCTGTGGAAGGTAGTGAAACTGATTCCCCACAAACGTCGAGGGACAACTGTAAACATTTCAGGCCACACAGAAGGCTCAATTCCCTGCATCCCTACCCCCAGGTAAACTCTATCACTGGAGATTAGTTTGCCTGACCATAACTTTACATAAATGGAATCACATATTGTCTATTCTTATAGGTCTAACTCAATATGAGGTTGTGAGATTCATTCATGTTGTAGCCATAATTTATTCATTTTCTTTGATGTATAGTATTCTAGTCTCGAATGTACCATGGGTTTTTTTTTTTTATCCATTCTTCTGTGAGATATTTGGGAAGTTTCTAGTTTGAGGTTATTACAAATAGTGCTGCTATGAACGTTGTTTTACTTGTTGTATTAGTCCGTTTCACGCTGCTGATAAAGATATACCCGAGACCAGGCAATTTACAGAAGAAAGAGGTTTATTGGACTTACAGTTCCACATGGCTGGGGAGGCCTCACTAATATGGCAGAAAGCAAGAAGGAGCAAGTCACATCTTATGTGGATGGCAGCAGGCAAAGAGAGAGCTTGTGCACAGAAACTCCTGTTTTTAAAACCATCACATCTCATGCGACCCATTCACTATCACGAGGACAGCACAGGAAAGACTCACTCACATGATTCAATCATCTCCCACCCAGCTCCTCCCACCACACGTGAGAATTATGGGAGTTACAAGATGAGATTGAGATTTGGGTGGGGACACACAGCCAAACCGTATCACTTGTATTTTAGTGAAGATATAGACACATCTGTGTAACGTACATGTGCAGGGTTGAAATTGCTAGTTCGTGGCAGGCAAATGTTTAGCTTTGGTGAATATTGCCAAATCAAAGTGTTTGTTCCACTTTACCTGCTCATCTGTGAGCCAGAGTGTTCCATCAACAGTTTGAGCTGTCTAAGAAGGACCTGAGTTCAATCCCATTCAATCACATAGTAGCTGTGTCACTTTGGGCAAGCCATGTAACTTCTCTGAGCCTCAGTGCTCAGTGTCCTCATCTGTAAATTGGGCTGATGGTGGTCCTTACCTCGCAGGGCCGCTTTAAGGACTAAGTGAGATGAAAGCTGATACCCCAAGTGACAACACTTCTCCCTCCCTCAGATTCAATAGGATGACATCTTCACTGCCCAATGTGAAGGCCATGGGGAGGACTCGAAGCCCCAGAGTTCCCCTGTCCCAGGAGCATAAGCCTTGGATTTTTGCTTTCAAAAACAACCACCTGTAGGATCAGGATGGCTCTCAACTTCCCCAAATCTGTGCTCCCACCCCATGAAGGTGACGTGTTCAGCAGCGGGGAAGGGACTGCATTGTGCCAGCCTCACCCTGCCCACTGTCTGTCCTCATGACTTGAGCCCAGCTAGTTCCCCAAGCAGAGCAGTGCAGGGTCCTGCCCCGGCCATGGGCTCCAGACATCCGGGCCACCACTACCTGTTCCTACCCTGCTGCCTCCATCCCTCAGCCCCTGCTTGCCTCCTTCACAGCTCAGGTTGTCTTAGCTTTTTACCTGTCTCCATGGTCTGTCTCATCAAGGGGAGAGCAGCACAAGGGAAGGGACTCTGTCAGTCTAGGGATGTGTCTCCAGTGCGTGGGAGAGATTAGCAGCTCAATACACACTTGCCCAGTGTCTGTGTGCATCTCACTAAGCAGAAGACAGCTTTGGAGATGAGAAGAGACCCTCCTGAGGTGACAGTCCTTAGCTGGCATTTCCCAAGTATTCTCAGCATGACAGGTGCTGAGCCGGACCATGGACATAGGAGCTCTGGAAACTGTGGGGTACCGGATTACAGGTGTGAACCACCATGCCTGGTCAGAAGTATTCTTTATTTCTTTTTTAAAATTTGTACTTTCTGAGTTTATGTAACTGGCATGTACTGCTTTTGTAATTAGAAACAGAAAACGTATAGAGAAAATGTGTAGAAAAAAGCAGAAAACCAAATCACATCTACAATAAAATCCTAGCTTTTAAGTAAAATGTGCAGAGGAGAAAGATGGAAAAGGAATGCAGTACTCCAGGTGTGGCGGCTCATGCCTGTAATCCCAGCACTTTGAAAGGCCAAGGTGGGAGGATCACTTGAAGCCAGGAGTTTGAGACCAGCCTGAGTATCATAGTGAGACCTCATCTTTTTTTAATATAAAATAAAAAATATTAAAATAGAAATGCATGAAAACATTAATAGTTGGCTGGGTGTGGTGGCTCACACCTGTAATCTCAGCACTTTGGGAGGCTGAGACAGGTGGGTCACTTGAGGTCAGGAGTTTGAGACCAGCCTGGCCAACATGGTAAAACCCCATCTCTACTAAAAAAAAAAAAAAAAAAAAAAAAAAAAAAAAAAAATTCCGGGCATGGTGGTGTGCACCTATAATCTCAGCTACTCGGGAGGCTGGTCCAGAATTGCTTGAACACAGGAAGCGGAGGTTGTGGTGAGCCAAGATCTCACCACTGCACTCCAGCCTGGGCGACAGAGTGAGACTCCATCCACAAAAAAAACAGAAACAAACAAACAAACAAAACCACAAAAACCTTTAATAGTTGCTGTCTCTGAGGACTGCGGTTATCAGGAGACTTACCTTTTCTGTCTTTCTAGTTTTTTATATGTTCATATCCAGATTTTAATGTATTATACGAACCTATTCCTTTAGTAGCCTCCTAAATAGTCTCCCTGCTTCCCTTCCTGCCTGTGATGTACAAAGGCTTCCCATGGCATTGTGCTGGAGAAATTATGCTGCTCCTAGTAAAAGTCTTCGTTCTCTGTGCCTAGTTAATCTCCACTTACCCATCAGTACTCTACTCAAGGTCTCCCCAACTTCTTTATGGAAGACTTCTGTAGTGGATGCTGTGACCTGCCACCCAGATGTCACTTCAGGACCAGGCCCTCATTCCCCAGCTGCTGGGAGACTTGGAGGCTGATGCTGGCAGATGAGTCTCACTCTGGAAATGCCGTGGCTGAAAGAAGCTGCCTGGGGACAGCCTGCATCCATTACCTGGTCCACTGGAGGAGGGAGATGGGGTGGGCAATAAAAGCTCAGACCCCTCGCCTCAATTCAGTGCAATTTTGAAGGGTCATCTACCATCTAAAACTCCCTGTGGGATTGGCTAAGACCTTTGTTGCAACTCCAGTGCGGTTTTCTCTGCCTGCCGAGGCCTGCTAGCTTCACCCTCTCACAGGTGCTGGTCTTAAGGGCACTTCCCAAGAAACTTCCTTAGCCAGTAACACCTTCTTGACCTCCCAGGCTAGGGTAGTTTCCTTTATTATATGCTCTTTCAGAGCACGTATCTCCTTTCTAGGTTTTACATCTATTTCTGTTATCTGGCCAATGTCTGCCTGTCCCATCAAATGTGATAGCCACAGGGTGGGATCTATATCTGATTTTATTCACCATTGCATTCTTCCATGCGGGCATTTGGTTTAGAAATATTTGTCGAGTGAACAAACAACATTATTAACCATTTAATCCCTTAGGAGGCCATCAACTTTACTTAGGGCTGCAGAATGTCTCATTCATTCATTCAATAAATATTTACAAAGAGAAGCTGGATTCCTACCCTTTCAACACCAAAATAACTCCAGATGGTTTAAAGATGCTTATATATAAGAGAATGAAATCAATAACTTTCTAGAATAAAGATGAGTAGATTTTAGAAAAAAAATGGAATATTAAGGGTCTTCATAAGCATGACCACATAAAATTCTAAGCCTTTATAAAGCAAAAATAAAAATTAATAAGCTGGCCGGGCATGGTGGCTCATGCCTGTAAAACTAGAACTTTGGGAGACTAAGGTAGGAGGATTGCTTGAGGCCAGGGACTAGCCTGGGCAACATAGTGAGACTCTGTCTCTACAAAACAAACAAACAAACAAACAAACAAAAATTAGCTGGGCATGGTGGTGTATACCTGTAGTCCTAGCTACTCAGGAAGCTGAGGCAGGAGGACAGCTTGAGGCCATGAGTTCAAGGCTGCAATGAACCATGATTGATTAGACCTGTAAATAGTCACTGCATTTCAGCCTGGGCAGCATAGAGCCCATCTATATTTATATTTGAAAAAATAATTAAGACAAACAAAGAAAAAGTATTTGCAGCTGAGTGCGGTGGCTCCTGTTTGTAATCTCAGCATTTTAGGAGGCTGAGGTGGGAGGATCGCTTGAACCTAGAAGTTTGAGAACAGCCTAGCAACATAGTGAGACCCCGTATCTACAAAAAATGCAAAAATTAGCTGGGTGTAGTGATGTGTGCTTGTAGTACCAGGTGTACTCAGGAGGATGAGGAGAGAGAATTGCTTGAGCCTGGAGGTCTGGGATACAATGAGCTGTGATGACACCACTGCACTCCAGCCTAGGTGACAGATCAAGACCCAGTTTCTAAAAAAAAAAAAAAAAAAAGAAAAGAAAGAGAAAGAAAGTAAAAAAAAATTTAAATAAAAAACAGTATTTGCAATACTTACATAAGACAGCTAATATACCAAGAACCCTTACAAATCAAAAGGTTAAAAAGCCTACATAAAAATGGGCAAAGAATGTGAAAAACTATTAGAAACCTTATTTATATTCTAGGAAATTCAAATTAAAACAATAATACAATATCTTTTTTTCTATAAAATTGACTGAGTTGAATGATTGACAATATCCAGTCTTGACAAGAGCGTAGATAAACTAGGAATTTAATTCACACTTGTTGGAAAAATTGTCCTGAACTCTTTGGAGTGCAGTTTGGCAATATCTATTAAATTAAAAGCATTCACCATTTTTTTAACCTCACAACTCTACTTCTAAGAATGTATTTGTCTAAGAGCATGCGTTTGTACAGATTGTACAAAGTAGAGCATTGCCACATTTATAATTACAAAGAAAAAAGCCTAGGCAACATAGTGAGATCTTGTCTTTACAAAAACTTTAGCATGGTGGTGCTCACCTGTGATCTCTGCTACTCAGGAGGTTGAAGAGAGAGGATCACTTGGGCCAGGGAGGTTGAAGCTGCAGTGATCTGTGATCACACCACTGCACTACAGCCTGGGTGATAGGAGGAAGGATCACTTGGGCCAGGGAGGTTGAAGTTGTAATGAACTGTGATCACACCACTGCACCACAGCCTGGGAGACAGAGGGAGAGGGAGAGGCAGAGAGAGAGGGAGAGGGGGAGAGGGAAAGAGAGAGAGAGAGAGAGACAGAGAGACAGAGAGAGAGAGAGAGAGGGAGAGACAGAGAGAGAAAGAGGAAGGAGGGAAGGAAGGAAGGAGGGAGGGAGGGAGGGAAGGAGGGAAGGAAGAAAGAGAAGAAAGAAGAAAGAAAGAAAAAGAGAGAGAGGAATGCTTCATTAATGCAGATTGCTTAAGTACATTGTGATTAATTCATACAATCAAACTCTAATAAACATCTGTCTTAAAGAATGAGGCACCTCTCTGCGTACTGAAATGTACTGTATGTACATTTGTACTGAAATATAAGGAAGTGTGTACTCTCTATGTACATGAAAAGAGTCCGTCATGTATTAAGAGGAAAAAGCATGTGGTAAATGAGGTTATTTCCCATTTTGGATGCATGGAGGAAAATATGGTGTGAATGTGTGTGAGAGAGAGTGCATTAGATTAGGCACAGAAAACACATCTGCAGACACATAGCACAAATGCTTACTAATGGAGAGTTGGGGGTGATGGGCAGCTTCTACCCTCTCTGTCATGTGCTTCCTTGTGTTTGATTTACTAATAATGAGTTCACATGACTTTTGTAATCCTAGAGAGAGGACAGCACATACGAAGGTCTGAAGCAATAGGATACATTTAGGGAAATGCTAAAATTGGTCCAAAAAGGATGGCAGGAAGAGATGATATTGAAGAGGAAGGCGGCAGGCAGGTGGCCCAGGTGAGCCCACGCTGTGCCGAGGAGTGCGGGGTTCATCCCGGGGCAGCAGGTTTTCTTTGTCCTCACTGGCAGCTCCTCTCAGTTTCTGAGGCTGCCTCCTCGTTTTCTGCCCACATCAGAGTGTGGGAATTTCTAATCTAATCCCTCGGGAGGCCATCAACTTTACTCAGGGCTGAAGAATGTCTTATTCACTCAATAAATATTTACAAGCTCTGCACTTTGGCTCATGCCTGTAATCCTAGCACTTTGGGAGGCTGAGATGGGAGGATCACTTGAGTCTAGGAGTTGAAGAGCAGCTGGGGCAACATAGCAAGATGTGTCTCTACAAAAAATAAAAAATTAGCCAGGTGTGGTGGCACACACCTGTGGTCCCAGCTACTCGGGAGGCTGAGGTGGGAAGATCGCTTGAGCCCAGAAGGTCAAGTCTGCGGTGAGCCTTGATCACACCACTACACTCCAGCCAGGGTGACAGAGTGAGACCCTATCTCAAAAACAAAAACAAAAAAATAATAAAAGAAGAAGAAAAGAAATATTTACACTGGATTTCTACAGATTCAATCCTGCTGAAAGTCAGTCCTACTTCCTCATCTCTTCTTCGTCTACACTGTCTCCTTCTGTGATATCATCCATATTCCTGGCTGTAAAAAACATCTTTGTGTGCCCACTCCCATGTCCTCTCTCCTGCTTGATTTCCCTCTGAGCACAGACTCAGGGATGTAATTTTCTCCTTGGCACCTTCATCTGATAGTCATCTCACATGAAAAAATTAACTTTGGCTTTTAGCCACCCCACCAACTTGCTCCTCTTCTGACCTTCATCTCAGTAAACAATGCCACCATCCACCCACTTGCCAGGAACAGACACCTATGGAGTCTTCTTTATCTTTACTTTCATTTCTGTGACAAAGACTAGCTCTATTGCCCAGGCTGGAAGGCAACCTCCACCTCCTGGGTTCAAGCAAGTCTCCTGCCTCAGCCTCCCTTGTAGCTGGAATTACAGGAGTGTGCCACCACGCCCACTTAATTTTTATATTTAGTAGAGACGAGGTTTTACCATACTGGCCAGGCTGTTCTCAAACCTCCAGCCTCAAGAGTACTCAGCCTCCCAAAGTGCTGGGATTACAGGCGTGAGCCACCATGCCTGGTCTTAAGGAGTCTTCTTGATGCCTCTCTTTTCTTTCCTGCATCCCCCTCTGCCTTCTAATCCATTATCAAGGTTGGCCTGTTTTATATCCAAAATAGACCTCAACTTGTCCACTTGTCCCCATCACTCTTGCCACCCCTAGTCCAAAGTGCAGAAATAAACACAGAGCACTCAAATGAGAACAAACAAAGTCAGTTATTCAGTTTGCTATAAAAGGGAGGTGGCCACCATCACCTGCATTCGGCAGAGCTTCAAAGGAAGGGCAAGGGCTGGGAATGCTTTCTTCCTTTCTTTTTCTTTCTTTCTTTTTTTTTTTTTTTTCTTGACCAAGTCTGGCTCTGTTGCTCAGGCTGAAGTGCAGTGGCGCAAACACTGCTCACTGCAACCTCTGCCTGTTTCCCAGCCTCAAGCCATCCTCCTACCTCAGCCTCTTGAGTAGCTGAGACTGCAGGCATGAACCACCATGCCCAGCTAATTTTGTTTATATTTTATAGAGATGAGATTTCACAATGTTGCCCAGGCTGATCTCAAACTCCTGGGTTCAAGTGATCTGCCTGCCTCAGCCTTCCAAAGTACTGAGTTCACAGGCATGAGCCACTGCACCCAGCCTCTTTTCACTTTCTTTTTTTTTTTTTTTTAATTATGATTATACTTTAAGTTCTGGGTACATGTGCACAACGTGCAGCTTTGATACATAGGTTTACATGTGCCATGTTGGTTTGCTGCACCCATCAACTCATCATTTACATTAGGTATTTCTCCTAATGCTATCTCTCCCCCAGCCCCCAACCCCCGGACAGGCCCCAGTGTGGTGTGTGATGTTCCCTGCCCTGTGTCCAAGTGATATTATTGTTCAATTCCCACCTGTGAGTGAGAACATGCGGTGCTTGGTTTTCTGTCCTTGTGATAGTTTGCTGAGAATGATGGTTTCCAGCTTCATCCATGTCCCTGCAAAGGACATAAACTCATCCTTTGTTATGGCTGCATTGTATTTCATGGTGTATATGTGCCACATTTTCTTTCTTTATTTCTTTTTTTTTGGAGACGGAGTCTCACTCTGTCGCCCAGGCTGGACTGTAGTGGCGCGATCTCGGCCCACTGCAAGCTCCGCCTCCTGGGTTCTCGCCATTCTCCTGCCTCAGCCTCCCGAGTAGCTGGGACTACAGGCGCCCACCACCATGCCCAGCTAGTTTTTTGTATTTTTAGTAGAGACGGGGTTTCACCGTGTTAGCCAGGATGGTCTCGATCTCCTGACCTTGTGATCCATCCACCTTGGCCTCCCAAAGTGCTGGGATTACAGGTGTGAGCCACTGCACCTGGCCCACATTTTCTTAATGCAGTCTATCATTGATGGACATTTCGGTTGGTTCCAAGTCTTTGCTATTGTGAATAGTGCCACAATAAACATATGTGTTCATGTGTCTTTATAGTAGCATGATTTATAATCCTTTGGGTATATACCCAGTAATGAGATTGCTGGGTCAAATGGTAATTCTAGTTCTAGATCCTTGAGGAATCGCCACACTGTCTTCCACAATGGTTGAACTAATTTACACTCCCACCAACAGTGTAAAAGTGTTCCTATTTCTCCACATCTTCTCCAGCATCTGTTGTTTCCTGACTTTTTAATGACCGCCATTCTAACTGGTGTGAGATGGTATCTCATTGTGGTTTTGATTTGCATTTCTCTGATGACCAGTGATGATGAGCATTTTTTCATGTGTCTGTTGGCTACATAGATGTCTTCTTTTGGGAAGTGTCTGTACATATCCTTTGCCCACTTTTTGATGGGGTTGTTTGTTTTTTCTTGTAAATTTGAGTTCTTTGTAGATTCTGGATATTAGCCCTTTGACAGATGGGTAGATTGCAAAAATTTTCTCCCATTCTGTAGGTTGCCTGTTCACTTTGATGGTAGTTTCTTTTGCCATGCAGAAGCTCTTTAGTTTAATAAGATCCCATTTGTCTATTTTGGCTTTTGTTGCCATTGCTTTTGGTGTCTTAGACCTGAAGTCTTTGCCCATGCCTATGTCCTGAATGCTATTGCCTAGGTTTTCTTCTGGGGTTTTTATGGTTTCAGGTCTAACATTTAAGTCTTTAATTCATCTTTTTTTTTTTTTTTTTTTTTTTTTTTGAGATGGAGTCTTGCTCCGTCACCCAGGCTGGAGTGCAGTGGCACGATCTCAGCTCACTGCAAGCTCCGCCTCCCAGATTCACACCATTCTGCTGCCTCAGCCTTCAGAGCAGCTGGGACTACAGGCACCTGCCACCACGCCCGGCTAATTTTTTGTATTTTCAGTAGAGACAGGGTTTCACCGTGTTAACCAGGATGGTCTCGATCTCCTGACCTTGTGATCTGCCTGCCTTGGCCTCGCAAAGTGCTGGGATTACAGGTGTGAGCCACCACACCTGGCCCTTTTATCCATCTTGAATTAATTTTTGTATAAGGTGTAAGGAAGGGATCCAGTTTCAGCTTTCTACATATGGCTAGCCAGTTTTTCCAGCACCATATATTAAATAGGGAATCCTTTTCCCATTTCTTGTTTTTGTCAGATTTGTCAAATATCAGATGGTTGTAGATGTGTGTTGTTATTTCTGAGGCCTCTGTTCTGTTCCATTGGTCTATATCTCTGTTTTGGTACCAGTACCATGCTGTTTTGGTTACTGTAGCCTTGTAGTATAGTTTGAAGTCAGGTAGCATGAAGCCTCCAGCTTTATTCTTCTTGCGTAGGATTGTCTTGGCAATGCAGGCTCTTTTTTGGTTCCATATGAACTTTAAAGTAGTTTTTTCGAATTCTGTGAAGAAAGTCATTGGTAGCTTGATGGAGATGGCATTGAATCTATTAATTACTTTGGACAGTATGGCCATTTTCATGATATGGAGTCTTCCTATCCATGAGCATGGAATATTCTTCCATTTGTGTCTTCTTTTATTTCCTTGAGCAGTGGTTTGTACTTCTCTTTGAAGAGGTCCTTCACATCCCTTGTAAGTTGCATTCCTAGGTATTTTATTCTCTTTGTAGCAATTGTGAATGGGAATTCACTCATGATTTGCCTCTCTGTTTGTCTGTTAATGGTGTATAGGAATGCTTGTGATTTTTGCACATTGATTTTGTATCCTGAGACTTTGCTGAAGTTGCTTATCAGCTTAAGGAGATTTTAGGCTGAGACAATGGGGTTTTCTAAATATACAATCACATCATCTGCAAACAGGGACAATTTGACTTCCTCATGGTGTCTTTGGAAGTGCAAAAGTTCTGAATTTTGAAGAAGTCTAATTTATCAATTTTATTGTATTCTATCTATCTATAGATCTATACATACACACAGTTCTGATTTGCCATGGTTCGACTTAACAACATGAGGTTAGGAGGGGAGTGAGGACATGAGTGTGTGGTAGTGAAAAAGGTGATACTGAAAGTGGATTGGAGGCTCTGATAAAGCCTGGTGTGGAGGGGAAGCTAGAGCCCATGATAAATGAGTTGAGATGATTGGAAGATGAGTGCAAGAAACTGCAACTGAGGGAGCACAGGGTGTACCCTGTTGGCGACAGACGGGCATGGGTTTTGAAAGTGGAGGAAGACAAATGGCTCAGAAGGTAACTGAATGAAAAGAGGGTACCCACATCCCCTCCTGGCCTTCCCAGGATGTTTCTCCCCTACATCTCTCAGAGCCGTTCTATCTAT
This sequence comes from Homo sapiens, assembly GCF_000001405.40. Lineage (NCBI taxonomy): Eukaryota > Metazoa > Chordata > Mammalia > Primates > Hominidae > Homo > Homo sapiens. Next base: position 155,397,658 of record NC_000004.12, read on the forward strand.
TGCCAGGTTGCCTGAAAAAGCCCATGACAACTTTGGTGGCTTCAGTTTTAAGGCTGATCAGACCATTTTTGGACTTTGTTCCTCCTTACAGCCTGGTCCACAGCCTGGTTCTGACTGCACTGCACAGGTGGTAGTGATGTGTCTTCTGGAACAAGCACCTATGGGCCACACGGGAGTCTTGTCCCTAGAGAGAAGCCTTGGTTTCTTCTCCTGTAAAATGCATTCCATCATTTGTCTATTCAAACATGTGTGAAACATCGCTGTGTGACAGGCCTATTTTCTTTCTTTTCCTTACATTTCTCAGCCACCCTGAGGGAGAAGAATTATCATTTTTTATTTATTTTTACTTTTTATTTTGTAGGGATGGGGTCTCACTATGTTGCCCAGGCTGGTCTTGAACTCCTGGGCTCAAGCAATGTGGAGACGGATTATTACACTCATTTTTACAGATGAGGAAATAAAAGCTCAGAGAGCTGAAAACCTTTGCCGAGGTCATATAGGGTCTATCTGAGTCCAGGGAGACTCACCATCCAGTTAGGGAAAGAATCAGGTAGGGAAAGAATAAAAAGTAAGTTGGTGTACAGAATTGTATAGGAATATGGAAGTTAGAAAGATTACTCCTGTTGTGGGAGAGGTGGTGTTGTGCATGTGTGTTAGGCCCCCAGGATGAGTAGAAATTTACATGGGGAGATGGAGAGGAAGGACCGCAGGCAGAAGTGATAGCCTGAGCAAAGACACCACTACATGAAACTCCATGGTGTAACAAAGATTGTTGAGTTAAAGGCAGAGACAAGATTGTCTATAAGCCTGGGGTTCATGGACAGCCTCAAGGGGGGCCCACAAACCTCCAGACGTTTTAACATAATTGTGGATGTCTATTTTTTTTTCTGGAGAGAGGCTTTTTATTTTCATCAGATTCTTAAAACTGGGATATTCACTCAAAACAGCCTTGAGTAGCAGATAAACTTGGAGACATCATCAGGGCCCTGGAATGCAGGACCTTGTACCCCGATTCAGGAATTCATACTTCACTCTGAGGTTGACAGGGAACCCATGGGTTTTCTAGCTGGGAGCAACATGGAATGGGCCTTAGGAAGACAACACAGGGTTACTGTGAGCTGAAATAGATGGAAAGTCCTTTTATAGACTATAACATGATGTGCTATTTACTGCCGTATTCCCAGTAGGGCACAGTGCTGAGGACATATTGGAGGTTCAGTAGATGTTTGTTGAATGAATGAAGAAGTAAATGAATGAATGAGCACAGGTGCATGTAATAACAATAAAAAGAGTGTATCTCTCCAGGGCAACTTCGTGCATTTCTTGACCGATTTAATTGAAGGTGAAATCCATGAACCCCAAGCTCCCCCTGCACGGCTTCAGGCTCTAATAGAAATCCACTGAGTCCTGAGATGATGCTAGGTGTACGGAGGGGTAAGGGAGAGTGGATTTGGTACCTGAGGGTGTGGCCACACCGGGCTGCAGGGTAGGGCTCTTCCCGCAGTGCCCTGCAGTGTCTTTGGAGGAGTGGAGGCTACACTGCCAGGATGGCCGGATCTCTTCCTTTTCCATTGCTTGTCCTGTTGACTCTGTCTCCAAAACATGACCTCTGTCCCCTCCATTTCCTCCATCTCCTCCACTCCCACCTGGTTCCTGCTCTCCCACCTGGCCTGGGCCACCACACCATCTCAAAACCAGAGTGCTGGCTCTGCCCTTGTATCTCTACCATCTGCTCTTCATGTGGCAGCCTGAGGGATCTTTAAAACTCTCCACCTGGGCTGGGCACGGTGGCTCATGCCTGCAGTCCCAACACTTTGGGAGGCCAAGGTGGGCAGATCACCTGAGGTCATGAGTTTGAGACCAGCCTGACTAACATGGAGAAACCCCGTCTCTACTAAAAATACAAAATTAGCCAGGCGTGGTGGTGCATGCCTGTAATCCCAGCTACCGGGGTGGCTGAGGCAGGAGAATCACTTGAAACCAAGAGGTGGAGGTTGCAGTGAGCTGAGATTGCACTATTGCACTCTAGCCTGGGTGACAAGAGCAATACTCCACCTCAAAAAACAAAACAAACAAAAAACAAAACAAAACAAAAAAAGCAACTCCCCATCTCCAAAGAATGTGGCTTTCTTTCCATGAACTTAAGAGTACTGTGCTTCCAAAAATTTAATATATTTTCAGAGTCATGTGGGAATTTTGCTTAGATGAAGTTTGTGATTCAGTTGATCTGGGGTTGGGCTCAAGACTGCATTTCCAACAAGCTCCCAGGCAATGCAGTTGCTGCTGCTCTTGGACCACATTAGGAGTAACAAAGACTTAGAAAGAAATGCAAACTTCCTTCCCATGTCCTACTTTATCTGGCCTTTGCCCAGCTCTCCCACATCATGTCCAGCCCTTGCTCCTCTCCCTCATCTTGCTGTGGCTCCCCTGGCCTTCATTCTGTTTCTGGAGTGTGCCAAGCTGCTCCTGCCTCAGGGCCTTTGCACACGATGTTCCCACTGCTCCAAATGCTCCTTTCCTGGAACATTCCACATGGCTTGCTTTTCTTTATTTACGTCTTAGTTCAATGGTCAGATAATAATTCTCAGACCACTTCACCTAGTGAAGTACCTTAGCTCTCAGAGACTCTCAGCTATTTGTTTTTTTTCCCCTCTTCATAGCACTTATCATTCTCAGTTTATTTTGGTAATCTATTGGTCGACTTTACTTTCCCGTCCTCCCTCCTCAACCAAGTATGTTCCACATGGATAAGGACTCAGTTTCCTTCAGTCTGAGCCTATCCCACAGCCTGGCACAGAGTAAGCTTTTCATGTTCCTCGGGCCTGTGCACGAAAATGCTCCCACCACTGCTGTTGGTGTTTGGATGCACACAAGCTGGAAATACTAACGGAAGTGCCTGAGGCAGAGGGGAGGAAGGAGGGAATAAGCAGACTTTCTCTACTGGAGTGCCTCAGAAACAGCCTCAAGAACCTGGAGATGATGTTGAAACCAAGAATCAACACATAATAGATGAATTCATCTAACTAGAAGAGATTCATTCTAGGTGGAAGGTGGAGAACAAAGTAACACATAGCTCAACGAGTTAATAAGCATTTGGAACAGTGTAAGTAAATACATAGTAAGTATTTATCGAATAAATAAATAAATATGCTGAGTGCTTATTTTATGATGATCACTTTGTATTATATAATCTGTTCATCCTCATAAAACATTATCACCATCTTGCACATAAGAAGCTGTGCTACCAGATTAGGAGATTTGCCCAAGGCCATATAAAACTTGCCCAAGTTCATAGAGCAATTCAGAGACAGAGCTGACAACCCCACTCTCTAAAATAGCTCCATTCAAAGTTGTAAAGGCCATATTCCCTGTCTCCCTTCTCTTCAATGACATGCCACTTGATAGCACTTGATACACTGTGCATTCTGTTTATCTATTTGTCTGTTTTCTCTCACCACAATATAAATTCTCTAAGGGTAAGAAGCTTTATTTAGTTCACTACTCTTTTCCAGAGCCTAGAATAGGGCCTGCCATGTAAACGGCACTTAATGAATGCTTACTGAGTGTTAAAAGGATGAATGAAGGGATTATTTAAGAATCCTTATTTTGGCCAGTTGCCATGGTTCGTGTCTGTAATCCTGGCATTTTTGGGAGGGTGAGGCCAAGGCCAGGAGTTTGAGACCAGTCTAAGCTACATAGCAAGACATCGTTGCCACAAAAAATTTACAAATTAGTCAGATGTGGTGGCATGCATCTGTAGTTCTAGCTACTTTGGAGGCTGAGGCAGGAGGATTGCTTGAGCCCAGGAGTCTGAGGCTGCAGTGAGCTTTGATTGCACCCCTGCACTGCAACCTGGGCAACAGAGCCAGACTCTGTCTCTTAAAAACAAAAAAAAAAGTTTCTCCACCTCTAAGGGGCAGTTCTGTAAACTTGTGGCTGACAGATCACTCAAATCCAGGCAAGTAGCTTTTAATTAATTGAACCAGGATTGGACCCAGAGCCAGCGTTCTTAACTAACCCCTGTAGTTAACTCTCAGAAAAGTCCATGTTCTAATTCCCAGAACCTGTGAATGTGTTAACTTGCATTTCAAAAGAGACTTTGCAGGTGTGATTAAATTAAAGATCTCAAAATGGGGAGATTATGGATTATCAGAGTGGGCCCAGTGTAGTCACAGGGGTCCATACAATTGGAGTACAAGAGGGTAAGAATCAGAGAGGAGGTGTGACCACGATGGAAGCAGAAGTTGGGGTGATGCAGGGTCATGGCCCTTAGAAGCTAGGAAGGAGCAGGGAACGGATTCTCCCCTAAAGCCTCTAGAAGGAGTGCATCCCTGCTCATGCATTTCAGACTTGTGGTCTCTAGAACTGTCTGGAGATGGTGTTGTAAGACAGTAAATGACTATGGCAGCAATCAGATATTCATATAACCCCTACACTATATTTTCATATACCTGACTTTTTCAGTCAAGATTCTGGTGCTCAGAATGGGAAAAACATACAACTTTATGTTAATAAGTTGTATTTCTGTTGGTGCCTCCTACACATGGCAGGGAAGCAGGATTGATTATGGCCTGTGCAATTAATATTTTAACCTAGAGAAAAAATGGGAGAAAGCAGGAAATGTAATTAGACTGTGCCAAAGAAGTGTAATTTTGACAGTTGAGTTGGAAGATGAATGGTGGTTGTGGGGAGAAGAATTTGAAAGGAGGGTAGACAAAAAAAAATCACCCAAAAAGCTGTGGCATTTGCTCAGGAGAGATATGACATGCAGATGAAATTAGGCAATATCAGTGAATATAGAGAGGAATAGATACATTTTTAAACTATGGTAAATAGTACGATTGAAGTGTGTGCCGGGTGCAGGTAAAAAAGGAAGAGGGGACAGCATGATGTCAGACTGGGACTCCCTGAGTTGGAGGTGCCTGTGATATATGGGAGTGGTTGAGGGGCTGAGATTATAAGGGGAGTGAATACAGAAGGGAGCAGAGGATAGGACCCTAGGAAGCATCTATCAAGTTATGGGCAGAGGTTGTACGTAGCACAGAAAGGCAAGAAATTGCCAGGGAAATAGGAAGAGAACCAAAGAGGAGAATGGCTCACCAATAAGGGAGTGGCTCATGCTGCCTGTTAGTCAAGTAGAGAAGCAAACTAGATTTTTCCTTAGGAGGTCACTGGGATCTGTACCATGCCTAGGTAAGAGCAGTTTCAATAGAGGGATTAGAGAGAGGTGTGCTGGATCTCACACCTACTCAGCAGAGGCCCTTGTGCACTGGAGCTCATACCTACTCAGGAGAGTCTCTTGTGCACATCCAAGCCCAGCTCTGCATTCAATGACATCAGCTTTAGATCAGTGATGGTGGAATTACTTGAAATCAGCAAATGCTACAATGCTACAAATCAGGGTGTTCCCTTCTCACATCCTTCCCCATCCCAAGAGTTAAACATTCACCAGCTTCAACTGGGAGAGAAGAAAGCTGAAGCATGACTGATTAAGTCTGCAAGTGAATGGGAGATAAGGAAGTGGGGCTGAGGGAGTTCATTATCTTTCCAGACGTGAGTGGTGAAGGGAAAGCGCACAGTACAGTCACATCTTAAGACCCAGATAGGTTTGAAAGAACATTGCTTTTTCCTGGAAATGTCCCAGACAAGATTGATTATATAGCCTCTATTGTATCACTGAAGTTTTAAGGAATCTTTACTTTTAATGGCATCTCACATATATAAAACCACATTATTGTTATGTAAGAAATTAACCCAGTGCTTTCCTTCTTTCCTGATCGATTAGCACACACTGTCTTTTTGCATCATTTCTCCCATGTGTAGCTCCTCTGTTCATCCACCTTTCTGGAATTGCTTGGCTCCTTCCTGCTTTGTACATGATCCCTTTAAGACAAATCTAGTTTCACACACGAATGCAAATATACTTTTAGGCACTTTTTTGAAGAAGGATACAAGTGGATGCCCAGTTCTCTTTGTTTGTATGTTGGATTTCTGATTAAGATTTCCTAAATAAAGGGCCCCAAACTAATGTTTGAAAAAAAGGGGGGGGGAGGGTAAACATAGTTTCAAGTTTTTTTAATCACTTATTTACACGTTACTCTTTATTCAAATTGTTCTATTTTATCTGTTATCATTATATGCATTTGTAAGATTATGAGTTTTTGTGGAATTAAAATCCAGCACTGAAGAAAGCCCAGGCATTACTTAGTGGGAATTTCTTTGTAAAAAAATAATCCCATTCAGGATTCTCAAGGGAAGTCCAGAGCCCGACTGTAGGTTAATGAGAATAAAAGAAATGATTTAGCACGTGCATACAGCTAATTTGGCGTCAGCATTGTGCTCATGTAAGGATGTAATTATTCTTTTGTCTCTTCTGGGAAGCCCAGAGTATACGTTAATAATCAAGTTCCAGAAGATGGCAGCAAAGGATTTACTATCCAGAGGAAACATGAATGTAATCATTAGTATTCTTGAGATACTTCATTTTGCTTATAGTGATTAAAAGTTACATTGAAACAAAGCTATTTACATCATTTAATAAAGCTTTTTGAATGATTAGCTTTTTCTTTATATTAGAAAGTAGAAATTTACTAGTTTAATGTGTCAAGAAAATATTGTTTAAATCCATGTTTTTAAAAGACTTAATGTAAGCTGCTCACCTCCCAATCCTTTCCCCACCCGCCCAAACTCAACCAGGATCATTGTTCATAGTTAGGGTTCTTTCCCATACTTTTATCCTCTATGCACAAAAATGGTCATATTACATATATTATTCTATAACCTGGTCTTGCCATTTGAAAATCTTTCCATGTTAATCAAAAACTGAATTGTGCATTATTTTATGGTTATATAATTTTATGTATATATTTATAAGTATGGTTGTTTTCAGGTTGCATGAGCAGCCTTGTGGTACATGTAGTTGTTTATTTAGAATACATCCTAGAGGTAGAATAATCAGGTTAAAGTATATGAAAATTAACTGCAGTTATCCTTCCTGCCAAAATGCCTTCCAGGAAAGTCTTTACAATATACATTCCTGTGAATATCATGAGAATGGTTTTTTACCTAAATTTACTCATTAGATACCCTTATTTCACGCTTAGAAGATGGAATTTTATTTCCCAAATTTTATTCTCATTTTATTTTATGCAACTCTACTTACTGTCTCCTTTAAACATCCTTTCATCTATTGTCTCAAAGTAAAAACTAGATATGAAATAAAAACATAAAAGTAAAATGTTATTTTATTTTGTTTTCAAAGTGAAACATTAAAGAAAAAAGACATTATTTAAGTGTAACTGGGAAATGCTCTTTTGTGGGCAAAAATAAATCATTTTAAATTTAATTTATTCCTGTAGCTATTATTCCTAGCATTAGGAAGATACGATTTAATAAAGTACTCTTGAGGAAATTCATTAGGTCACAGGAACTAACATGAAAGCTCTTTATATTTAAAACAGGCAATAATGCTAAGGCATTACTAAATATGTAACTTCAAAGGCACTACATTGCCCAATCACGTACTCCATTTTAGGCATTTTATATACATACACTGTAGCCAAACTTGAGTAAACTTTGATAAAAATTTTCTATTATGCAAGTTTCTTAACCTTAAAATGAACTTCTGTGATTCTTAAGTAAATATTATAGGGTGATGCTTTTATTCTTTGGGCTGGATCCAGATGTCAACTTTTCGTTTTATAACAGCATGTTCTTTGCAACTCATAGCCAACTAATTTTTTCTAGTATGGACAAAGAACAAAGAATGTGCCCTGTAAAAATTTTGTACAAACTTATTTTTCCTGCATTATATATTACGTCTCCTTCTCTTTGTGATTAAAGCCCACGAATATTTTCTTTTGAAAAGTCAATATTATATCTGTTAGATAAGACAAATTTTCCCTATTATCTAACAGCAAATCTGCTTCTTTCTGTTTTTTTTTTTTATTTTAATGTTTTCTGTTTTGTTTTAAAACTTGGAGTGATATGTGTCTGAGATTGGTAGGTGTTGAGAAAAAAATCTGTAATATCTGAAAAGGTATAGATAGTACAAATTTTTTTTGAGAGGGTTTATATTTCAAAAGCCAAATCTTTTGAAAGTTTGGACCCACATTTTAAAAACTCACTGTTTTAAATGAAGTTAGACAATGAAGTAATGAGACATGATTTTGCATCTAGCTTATGAACATCAGTCATATTCAAATGTGCTTTAGACTATTTTGTTTTAGACAAAGCAATTCAAGAATATTATGTCTCAGCTAGAGAGTTCTACTGTCTAGATGAACTATGCTACACTCACTTGTATGTAGTTAGAATCCTAGAATGCCATGGAAATAATGTAATTCTTGGTACATGGATCCTTTGGATAATATTATGGGACCTGTTTGAATACTTTGCAGGACATGGAATGAATACATCAGCGTATGACGCACGTGTTCCATTATTGGACAGCTCTAATTATCACAATTTTATTCTTTATACTTAATCAAAGTATGCATTCCATTTTTCTGTACACTGACCATAGTTTTGTTTTGCAGGGTCATAGAGAATAAATCTAATCTTCCTTTCACATGACAAAACTTTCATTTGGGGAAAGATTTATGTTAATTATTAGCACACTGCCCTCACTTTACCATTTTCCTTTACTGCTGTTTCTCATGTTCCTCATAATTTCAAAACCCATCACCATCCTGGTTGTGCTTTTTTGGATAATCCATTTGATTTCATCCCTTAAGAGTTGTACCTTAAGGTAAACAGAGTAACCCAGATATTATTTAACCTGAACAAGGAATAATCCCTTTTTTAGGTATGGACACTGCTAACATGGCCTGAGCTTACATTAGCATCTTCCTGGCAGATAGGCTCCACTCTTCGTTTACCTTGTGTACGTGTAATCAACCAAAATGCTAAAGCTATCCAGATCCCATAGGATTCAAATATTCTTTAAACTCAAATGTAGGATTTTAAATTTTAATGTGTTAAAGACTGTTTTTGATTTGGGACATCTCTTTTTCAATCTTTCAATCTATAGGTAACTTATTGAGTTCTATTTTATCATCCAACATACTATTTTTCAGTTTCATATTTAAATGTTACAAGTATATCTGCTTGGCACGTGTTTATACAAGTCATTACTAAAAAGAATATTAGGATATTTAATTTATCCACATCCATGAGTACATTTCTAATCAGGTTCAATGCAAGGTGATTTTGCTATTTTCTGTGGGACAATTTTAGAAAAGTTGAATCTATTTCTGAACCACAATCTTTTCCCTCTTTCCCAAGGCAGCATAGCAATATCAGGGCTTACTTAGGCTTGGTTCTCTTGTCTTTGGCAATGGCTGCTGAAGGAAAAGAGAATCAAGTCTAAGTAAGCCTTGATATTGCTATGCTGCAAAGGGAACGAAGGAATAGATTGTGGTTCAGAAATAGATTCAATTTCTATTGCGAAGAATTCTTTCTTAGGAAGACAATCTCATCTTATTTGATGAGGTTTCTTTTTTTTTTTTTTTTTTTTTTGAGACAGAGTCTCGCTCTGTTGCCCAGTCCAGAGTGCAGTGGTGCAATCTTGGCTCACTGCAACCTCCGCCTCCAGGGTTCAAGTGATTCTCCTGCCTCAGCCTCCCGAGTAGCTGAGACTACAGGCACATGCCACCATGCCCAGTTAATTTTTGTATTTTTAGCAGAGATGGAGTTTCACCATATTGGCCAGGCTGGTCTCAAACTCCTGACCTGAGGTGATCTGCCCACTCTCTGCTGTGATTTTTTGGAAGGTGCTTTTTCTTTCTAAAAGTTCCTGAACTCTATTATATTTAAAACTTGATTAAGGTATTTTTGGGGAGGACAGAATTGCACTACAAAAGGTTACTATTACTAGACATTTCAGTAATTGAACTATTAAAAGGCATGAATAATTTTCTTTTATTTTAGCAAATAAAGCATTTAGGCATGGAGTAAAAGTGCAAAAGGAAATAGTCCGAATGGTTTTAAGATTAATTAGGAGACAGTGATAGACTTAGCTGACTAAATTTCATGGAATGTAAGCATTCTTTTTTGGAGTATTACATACTGAATTATCCAAAATCCCAGAATAAACTACATTTCTATTACAGGAAACACCAATAAATGTGTTCCCATTTATTTTATTTTTTAACTTTAGACATTTTGTTATTGGTGAGAATATTTATCTCTGCTTGATTTCATGATTATGCTTTTGTTACACACACAGAAAAACTTTACCAGTTTTTAAATAGGATTCTACTCTTGCTATGTAAAGTATTTGTCACTTTAGGCATTGCTTTCTATTTTCTGGAATTAGATTTTGCCATGTTTCTATTATACTACCTTTATTGTATTTATTCCTATAAAAACTCAAGCATATGTTCTATATCCATGTCAAAATAAGTCTAAATCTTTTTTTTTTTTTTTTTTTTTTGAGACAGAGTCTCGCTCTGTCCCTCAGGCTGGAGTGCAGTGGCGCGATCTCGGCTCACTGAAAGCTCTGCCTCCCGGGTTCACGCCATTCTCCTGCCTCAGCCTCCCGAGTAGCGGGGACTACAGGCGCCCGCCACAACACCCGGCTAATAAGTCTAAATCTTGAAAGAAGGAAATATATGGAGTGCTTTAAATTTTTAACACTTTCAATATGAATAGAATTGGGAGCAATGCAGTGAAAGCTGTAATACAGTTGCTATTACTCTCTAGAAAGTCAGTGTAGTTGAGCAGTCAGACTATATACAAAAAAAGAAAAATTGATGATTACCTCATATGTTCAACAAACCGATTTGATATTGATTAACCTGTATACTTAAAACAGAAGCAATGTGGATATGTACGGATAGAAGAAGAGCTTGAAAACTGCAGAGTAATGCACCGAGGGTGGAAAGAAAATGCTGTAGACTAAACCAGTGAGTGCTGTACTAAGAGGTGCAACATCTTTCAAATTAAGAGTGGGGGCCATCTAGTGTGTCATCACACTTATTTAATTGGAATCATGATTAAAAAGAAGTTTCTAGCATAAACTAGACTAGATTAATACAAAAATAGTGCATTACAAATTGAAAAGGTATGGACCATTTCAGAAAGACTTTGTTTCCATATATAAAAATAAACTGTGTATGTAAAATAGATCATGTACATTTACGTGCATATATAAGATACATTTATGTGTATATGTATATAGGTGCACTTGGGTTGTGGTATAAAATATATTTTTTACAGTATTCAGTGACAAAAATGTTGATAGCCACTGAGGTGTTGAATATAGACTACTCTTTTCAATGAGAACAGAAAAAGAAAGTTAAAGTAATTTCCTGGGGTTTTGTGAAACCTGAAAACTAGTTTCCCTAACACCATAATACTTAATTTGTCTACTATTACTAAAAGACAATTTCATTTCCTGTGACACCTTGTAACTGGAAATGGACTAAACATTACAAATAACTAATCTCCCATGAGTCAATGTAAATTATAGTAATAAAATTGTAAATGAACATTAAAAGAAATATATAACTCTCTGCAAAACTGCTTCTGATCCTGCTGTCTCACTCTTTTTGGACAATCTATGCTTTATTGTTGTACATATACTTCATTTTGGAAGCATTTTTTAAAGAGAAATATCTCTTATTCCAATCTTCCTACATACTATCATTCAAAAGCCTTTCCCATTTCTCATCCTCCAGGAAACTTTTCATTATTAACCCAATATGGTATGATAATTTCTCTGTGTGTATCCATCTTTATTCCTTGCTGTCCTAATCTTAAAATAAAGAGATTCTATCATTTAATCTCTAATATATGGGGGCATTTATAGAGGAAGGCAAAATAATTCTTATATATAACTTTGATGTAATTAAGTGATATTATGTGGAGTGTTGGTGTGTGTGTGTGTGTGTGTGTGTGTGTGTATGTGTGGTGTGTATGTGTGCTGTAAATCTTAGGTAGTTACATGTCTCTTTAGTTAAATGTTACTTTATATACGATTTGTATTTCTTTTCAGTTTTGTATTTCTTAGTGGAGAGGGGTAAACTTTAACAGTCTTTTCCCAGGAGAGTGCAATGAATTTATGAGAGCTTAAGTACTTTTAGATTATGGTAATGATAATAATGGTGCTAACTTTGTCTTCAAGAAACAGACTATTTCTTCAATCAGCTCCATGCCTATTTCAGTAATCTGTACTTCATATCTTTTTCAGCATGAATTATTTAAAAATCTGTGAACTTGCCTCTGCTTATCTTTCTGTATTCTGGATTTTACTTATTTATTTGTAGGTGCTAATATTACTCTTTCAGGGAGCCAAGAGAGATCTCAAGACAGAATGTCTTGTGTGTGTTTCAAAGATGGCATGAATTACTAACGTTCCCTTCAAGTTTAGAATATTCTTATTGTTGGACGTTTATGGCATTAAGTAGAAGAAAATATATTTTTGCAAGAAAAATGAATTAAATTATATTTTAGAGAGGGAAAGATCAGAAGGAAGGTAATAAGCAAGGTTGTAAATCAATGTCAGAGATGGAAGAATTGTAATCAATGAACAGAAATAATATTGTACAGATTACACTACACCTGTCGCTCTGTCACCAACTGTTTTGTTCTTAAATCAGTGGACAGTTTTATAAATTTTCTTGATCCTTGTCAAAACTAGATTTAAATTTATCAAATTTCATTTATTCACAGAACCAGATCTTAGATTTATGTCATGTTTGGTCCTGATTCATTAATTTCTGCTATTATCTCAATAGATTTAAATCCACTGTTTTCCTGATGTTTTTTCTTTTTGTAATTTCTATGACTATATATAAAATTATAGTTTTATAATTTCTGTTTTTAAATACTTGTTTTATATTATTACTTTTCTTTACATCTGGAATTTCAACAAGAAGTTGCAAGTTGCCACTGTGTTTGTGTGTCTTAAATAGTGAGACTTCGTTTTTGTGAATGTATTAAATAAATTTTGGCTTTAGGATCAGGACCCTGTGCTCAAACCCTGGCTCTTCCATGATGTAGCTTTGTGACTTTGGGTAAGTTACTCAACCTCTCTGAGCTTCAGTGTCCTCTTCTGCAAAACAGAAAAAAAAATTGGAAATATCTGTTTCTGACTGGTGTCAAAAAGTTAAAGGAGATAAACGTGTAACACATTCCCCTGATGCATAGCATGAAGAGTCAATGAGTATTATGGACTTGTGAATAAATATTTATGTGTGACATACCTTATGTGTTTTTTATTACATAGTCAATCACCTATTCTATGTCATATAATACATACTGTAGGTTCCAGATGAACCCCTCCCTGTCTCTATTGTGTAGAAACAACCCTATTTCTCCCCTTGATAATTAAGATAAATCACTCCAGTGTTTTTGTGGTGGCAAAAGTAGTCCAAAATGGCCAGGTCACAGTCTCGGCTTCCAGTTCAATGGAACCATTGTTTTGTCTAGTTATACAAGCATTAATCCTTTAGGAAACAAGATCTTCATATGAGCAGAACCTAATGTTTCAGATACAGAAAGCACAAAGTGTTCAGATTATTTATTCATTTCTACTTCAACCCTTTTTTCCTGAACCTGACTTACCTCTGGGAGAATCAGCCATAGATAGCAGAACTGGTTCACGGCATGCATTGCCTCTTGTAGGCGAGCACCCTGCCCTGATCAATGCAGCCATTGAATCTTCAATAAGACATTCAATTGCAATATTAGGCACGTTGCTTTGCAGTAAGGAGATTCATGATACAACCATGAATCTCATGGGGTCAGGCCAGTGCATCCCTGATTTCTTCTGTAAAAGGAATTCCTCAAATGGGTGGTGACGCTGACACAGGAATCTAAACAGAGAAGACAAATCCAGATACAGAATAAATATGCATATTCTATTGAGCACAAATATCAACTCATTCCATGATGGGTACAATTCAAAACAACCATACTGAATAAAGGTGGCCAATTGGTCACCTCTGCATATGGTGCCCTAGCAAAGACTTGGTGTTAGTGTCTGCTGTTGCAAGGTTAGGCATTCAGTAGTAAAAATAGTCAAATCAGCCATGACGAAGGTGAGTTTAATTTGCTAGCTCATGCATAACCTCCATCCTGGCTGCGACAGCCACTTATTCAGGATTCCTTTGGGCAAACACTGTGGTGGCTGAAAAAGACTGGCTAATGTTCACAGACTATTAACAGTCCTGGCTTTTACATAGAGGATTCATTTAAAGCAAAAACACATGCACACTCAGATATAGTGGATTTGGTTTCAGACCACCACAATAAAGGAAATGTCACAATTAAGTGAGTCACACAAGATTTTTGGCTTGCCAATGCATATAAAACTTATATTTATACTATATTGTAGTCTATTAAGTGTGAAATGGCTTTTTGTCTAAAAAACTGGACATACCTTAAAAAATACATTATTGATAAAAAACACTAATGATCATTTGAGAATTAAGAATTCATAAATTCTCAATCTTAAGAATTAAGGATTCATCATTATGAATAATTCATATTCATTCATAATTCATAAAAGCATTTGTGTAAAAAATTGGACATACCTTAAAAATACATTATTGATAAAAAATACTAATGATCATTTGAGAATTAAGGATTCATAATCTTTTTGCTGGTGGAAGGCCTTGCCTCAATGTTCATGGCTGATTCTGCTGACTGATCAGGATGGTCATTGCTGAAGGCTGAAGTGGCTGTGCCAATTTCTTAAAATAAGGCAACAATGAAGTTTGCCTCATTGATTGACTCTTCCTTCCACGAAAGATCTCTTTGCAGTGTTCAATACTGTTTGTTAGCACTTCATCCACGGTAGAACTTGTTTCCAAATTGCAGTCAATCCTCTCAAACCCTGCTGCTATTTAACAACTAAGTTTATGTAATACTTAAAATCTTTTCTTATCATTTCAACAATGTTCACACCATCTTCACCAGAAGTAAATTCCACCTGAAGAAACCACTTTATTTGCTTATCTGTAAGAAGCAACTCCTCATCCATTCAACTTTTATCATGAGATTGCAGCAATTCAGTCACATCTTCAGGCTCCACCCCTGATGCTAATTCTCTTGCTATTTCTACATCTGCAGTTACTTCCTCCACTAAAATCTTAAACCCCTCAAAGTTATCTACAAGAGTTGGAGTCAACTTCTTTAAAATTCCTGTTAATGTTGATTTTTTTTTTACCTCCTCCCATGAATCATAAGTGTTCTTAATGGCACCTATAGTGGTGAATCTTTTCCAGAAGTTTTCAATTTACTTTGCCCAGAACCATTAGAGGAATCACTATCTATGGCAGCTATAACCTTACAAAATATGTCTCTTAAATAATACAACATTAAAATCAAAGTTACTTGTCAATCAGTGGGTTACAGAATGGATGGTGTGTTTGCAGGCATAAAAAGACATTAATCCCCTTATGCATCTTCATCAGAGTTCTTGTGTGACCAGGTCCATTGTCAATGAGCAGTAATATTTTGAAAGGAATCTTTTTTGTTTTTTTGAGCAATACTTCTCAATGGTAACCTTGAAATCTTCAGTAAACCATGCTGTGAAGAGATGTACCATCATCCCGGCTTTGTTGATCCATTTGTAGAGCATGGGCAGAGTCGATTTAACATTAATTCTTAAGACCTTGGGATGTTTTGAAAGGTAAATGCACATTGGTTTCACCTTAAAGTCACTAGCTGCATTAGCCCCTAACAAGAGAGCCAGTTTGTCCTTTGAAGCTTTGAAGCCAGGCTTGACTTTTCTTCTAGCTATGAAAGTCCTAGATGGCATTTTCTTCCAGTACAGCTGCTTCATCTACATGGTAAATCTATTGTTCAATGTAGCCATTCAATTCATGAATGATGTTGGCTAGATCTTCTGTATAATTTGCTGCAGCTTATCTATCAGCCCTTGCTACTTCATCTTGCACTTTTATGTTACGGAGATCATTTCCTTAATCCTCATGAACTAATCTCTGCTACCTTCCAACTCTTCTTGTGCAACTTCCTGACCACTCTCAGCCTTCATAGAATTCAAGAGTTAGGGCCTTGTTCTGCATTAGGCTTTGGCTTAAGGGAATGTTGTGGCTGGTTTGATATTCTATCTAGACCATCAAATCTTTCTCCATATCAGCAATAAAGCTGTATATTCACTGGTGTAGCACATTCATTTTCCTTCAAGAACTTTTCCCTTGCACTCACAGCTTAGCTAACTGTTTGGCACAAGAGGTCTAGCTTTCAGCCTATTTCAGCTTTTGACATGTCTTTCTCACTAAGCTTAATCATTTTTAGCCTCTGATTTAAAGTGAGATATGTACAACTCTTCCTTTCACTTGAACACTTAGAGGCCATTGTAAGTTTATTTATCAGGCTAATATCAATACTGTGTGTCTGAAGGAATAAGCAGGCCTGAGCAGAGGGAGAGAGATGGGAGAATGGCTGAGCAGTGGAGCATTGAGAACACATACAATATTTATTGATTGAGTCTGCTGTCTTATATGGGCTCAGTGTGTGGTACCCCAAAGCAATTCAATAGTAATATCAAAGATGCCTGATTACAGATCACCATTAAATATAAAATAATTATTTAAAAGTTTGAAATACTGTGAGAATTACCAAAATATGACACAGAGACAGAAAGTGAGCACACGCTGTTTGAAAAGTAGTGCTGATATACTTGTGGGAGCAGAACTTCAATTTGTAAACTATGCAATATCTCTGAAGCTCAACAAGATGATGAATAATAAATTGGGATGTGCCTGTATGCAAACTTTGCACCCACTTTAAACAGTTTATTCACAGACCTCCATGTCATCAATTCTCTCATCTTTTTATTCCTAAGAGATCGTAAGAAAAATTATTAGCCCAGGAATGAGGGTAGAGAAATCGTAATCCCTCTTTTACTCCATGAAATGTGAATAAAGAGATTACTGGAGCATTGCCCATTGGAGGATTTTCCACTCTCGCTAACCTTCAGGGGCTGAAATAGTACAACAACAGTCCACTTCTGTTTGATATTAATATTCAGCCTACATTTTTTTCTTCAGTCAACTTGTCATAAGAAATTACCAATGAGGTATTTGTTTAGGATGGTGAGAAAGTGAAATGCGGTTTGAGTGGAGTAGTTGCCATGAAAATATGAAGCACCTACTCATGTAGCTCTACTTTTGCTTCCAAAACTTGCTTGAACCCAATTTTGCATGAAATATTTCACTTTGATAATAACGTGCTGCTTTATACTCTCAACCACTTGGAAAGTCAGGCAACAATTCATGTTTATAAGATTGTCAATTTCAACCAGGAATGAGTAGCAAGCCAGAGGCTTTCTCAAGGAAATTAGCTCTTTTCAGAAGTAAGCATGGCACTTGCTTTTGTGCATTGGTCTTATCAAGGCTTGTCAGAAGCCCCATACAACCAACCTATATGCCACAGATACTTTGAGCACCATGGTGTCTACTGGGTCATTAAGTCAAGTTGCAAAGTGGCATGTAACTGTGGTCTTTTCTTGCTCTGGGCCCATCCAAAACTGGTGGCCTTATAGGTACTTAGTAATTGGGTTGGAGCAGCAAACTCACTTGCTTTATATGTTGCTTCCAAAATACACAGATACCCACCAAACCTAATGTCTTTTCTCTTGGTGGGAAGAGTTACAAGATACAATATATATAACAATATATCTTTATGTTTGAAGTTAACATCTTAATATATCCAGGACAGTGGACCTCTAGACACTTTCCTAAGATGGGTGGCTCATTAATATTCACGGAGATATACCTCCCACTCTTTGGTATGCATGTATCTTACCAGGACATCTAAGATATTTGCTACTTCCTGTTCAGTAGGACTAAATATGATGGTCAATGTGGTATTGTAAGAACATCTACTAATTATTTTGTGCTCTAGGTTATGACATAACAAGATCATGTAGCCCTAAGTAAGGACAGAGAAGGTATGGTACTCTTTCTGCCACATGAAAATAAACTGATCCAATTGTCTTTGGTAATCAGCATGTAGAAGAAAAAAGGCTCTTAGTGATCTATAGCTGCAAGCCATGAGCTCTGTGGATTTCATTCCATAATGAGATCACATCTGAAACAACAGTTGCAGTTGAAGCTACCACTTGAAATGTCTACAATAAATCATTGTTATTTTCCAAGATAAATCTGTCTTCCACACAGAATAAATAGGTGGGTTCAATAAAGATTAACTAAAGGAATCACTACCCCTACATTCTTCTGGTCTTTGGTAAAAGCAGTGCCCTTTACCATTCCCTCAGGAATGCAGTATTACTTTTGATTGATTATTTGGAAGGGAAGCCAATTCCAGGGCTTCCTGTTCACTTTTCCTACCACCATAGCCCTCAATCCACATTCAGAGAACCAAGGTGGGGATTTTGCAAGTTGAAGAATATGTCTCTGCCAAACTGCAAATTTGAAAACTAGCAGAAGGTTGACTCTCAGACTAAATGGGCCTACAGTGAAACATTTGGGTGAAACATTTATTACCTGAATGTTTACTACTATGTATTGGGAGCGTTTCCAGTAGGCCTTTCCTTTAACTAGTGGAGCACTATGATATTTTGGATCCCCAGATATTAACTTTATCTTAGAACCAGTTTTCAGTGTTTCTCTTTCCCTGGTGCCTAGTCACCATGGTAGAATGGCTACAGGTCCCCTTCAGGGAGATTAGAGGGAGATTCACAGCTCATACTTGTGCTTTTGCATGGCCTTTCCTCAATAATATTCATCCTCCCCTTCAAGTGGCTTCAGATCTGTGAAATGGCATGGGTCTGGAAACTGATTTAGGGGCAACTGCAGTGACACATATCTGGTCTGTTTAAAAACCTAGAGTTACGTGTATTTATTTTAGAGATCCAGTGAGATTTCTGTAGGCTTCCCATCAATCTAATTGACATCAGCAGTTAGCTGCCTCTAAAGATCTCTACAGGTTACATTGTTCTGGTTATTGCTCCAACTTTCATGCCTATTCCAGA
Source organism: Homo sapiens (assembly GCF_000001405.40). Classification (NCBI taxonomy): domain Eukaryota; kingdom Metazoa; phylum Chordata; class Mammalia; order Primates; family Hominidae; genus Homo; species Homo sapiens. Next base: position 155,416,628 of record NC_000004.12, read on the forward strand.
ATCAGAGGCCACCTTATATCTAGAGATTAAGTGCTGACACTTAGCCTCTGTCGCTCTCAGATTCCACTTTTCCCCAATAAAATCAAGGAGTATGTTTTATTGAATCATATCTGCCATAATTCCTGACCTGCAAAGAACCACTTTAGAGCTTTCCAAGGGCAGTAGAGATCCCTTCCCGACGATATGTCTTAGTGCTGCAGAAGGAATATATTCTGGGACTTCTTAGGGTGTATAGCAGGCATTGGGTGAACAAGATCCACATAATAAAGCTACTACAACATTTCTATCTCCTTTTTTCTTTTGACTTCTTTGGAATACACAAAGTTCTGGAATCTCAAGTTCACTAATATAGGACACAGTTGAGTCCAGATGTCTATCAAACAATTAACTATTGGAACTACTCTTAGCTGCTTGAGCTTACTCATTAAAGAAAGAACTTCTCATAAATGTAGTCTGTTAATATCTTCTGCCTGATAGAATGTTAGATGAGTTCCTCCCCAGTTTAACACCCTTAGAATCCATTCCCACCAGTATTCCTCAGGTTTGAATTAAAATAAATTAAAAATACATTGTGATTATTTTGGTATTCATGCTATCTTTCCCTTTTACTTTCACATACATTTTAAAATTGCTACAAAATATTTTATATATTTGTGAGGTACATGTGAGTATTTATTGCATGCATAGAATGTGTAATAATCAAGTCAGGGTATTTGGGGTATTGATTACCTTGAGTGTTTATCATTTCTATGTATTGGGAACATTTCCAGTGTTATCTTCTAGCTACTTTGTTATATATAATACATTGTTTCTAACTGTAGTCAGCCTACTCTACCAAAGAATATTGGAGATTACTTCTATCTAACTCAGTGTTTGCACCCAGTAACCAACTTCTTTTTATCCCCCACTCCCACCCACCCACCCTTCACACCCTCTGGTATCTATCATTCTAGACTCTATTTCCATGAGATCAACTATTTTAGCTCCGACATGTGAGTGAGAACACTGTATCTGTCTTTCTGTGCCTGGTTTATTTCACTTAATATAATGTCCTCCAGTTCTATCCATGTTGCTGCAAATAGCATAATTTAATTCTTTCTCTATTTCCAAATAGAATAGCATTGTGCATATATGCCATATTTTCTTTATCCATTTGTCTGCTGATAGACACAGATTGATTTAATATCTTTGCTATTGTGAATAGTGCTGCAGTAAGCACGTAAGTGCAGGTAACCCTTTGATGTATAGATTTCTTTTCCTTTGGATAAATACCCAGTAGTAGGATTCCTGGATCATGTAGTGGTTCTATTTTTAGTTTTAAGAAATCTTCATAGTGTTTTTCATAGTGGCTGCACTAGTTTACATTCCCAACAGTGTATAAACGTTTACTTTTCTCTCCATCCTTGCTAGCATCTGCTATGTTTTGCCTTTTTAATAACAGCCATTCTAACTGGAGTAAGGTGATATCTTATTGTGGTTTTGATTTACATTTCCCTGATTAGTGATGTTGAACAATTTTTCATATACCTGTTGGCCATTTGTATGTTTTCTTTTGAGAAATATCTATTCCTTTGCCTGCTTTTTAATGGGACTTTTTAAATTGTTGGTTTGCTTGAGTTCCTTGTATATTCTGGATATGAGTCTCTTGTCAGATGAATAATTTGCAAATATTTTATCCCACTCAAGAGGTATCTCTTCACTCTGTTGTTTCCTTTGCTCTATAAATGCTTTTTAGTTTAATATAATCTGATTTATCTATTTTGTTTTAGTTGTCTGTGCTTTTGAGGTCTTAGCCATAAAATCTTTGCTAGACTGATGTCTTGAATTATTTCCTCTACGTTTTTCCACAGTGGTTTTATAGTTTGGGATCTTAATGTTTTACACACTTTCTAGTTGTTTACATGCAGCATGCCGAGATCTAACTCTAGTTATGGGTCTAGAGACAACAAGAAGTAGGGAAATCACATTTCAAAGAATAGGATAACTGCCTCAAATCAAAATAATAAAAGGTTTCCAAGAGAAGGAATCTAATCCTGAGACCAAGGAAGCCAGCCAATTTCTTCTAGACAGGCACAACAGAACCCAAAGCATAAGGATAAACAAATCATTCTGAATCCATCCATATTACTCAAGTTCAGTTCTTCAGGACAACTGTGTCCTGATTTTCATAAAGGAAATCTGATAAGACTATGAATTCAACTTGCACTGTAATTATGTAAGTACCAAGATAAAATTAGGTTTGCTTTGGTAAACAATGTCCTTGGGGCACAAGGGTGAAGACATTCTTTTTTTTTTTTGAGACGGAGTCTCACTCTGTCGCCCAGGCTGGAGTGCGGTGTCATGATCTCGGCTCACTGCAGCCTCTGCCTCCCAGGTTCAAGCAATTCTGCTGCCTCAGCCTCCCGAGTAGCTGGGATTATAGGTGCCCACCACCATGCCCCGCTAATTTTTTTTGTATTTTTAGTAGAGATGGGATTTCACCGTGTTAGCCAGGATGATCTCCATCTCCTGACCTCGTGATCCACCCGCCTCGGCCAACCAAAGTGCTAGGATTACAGACATGAGCCACCGCGCCCAGCAGAAGATATTCTTGTAGGGTAGTCATAGGAGTTTTCTGATGGACCTAGATCTACTTCTAGTAGCGAATACTGACTACATCAGCCAGCGTCGCATAGGAGTACAGAAACTACTCCAAACATTTCAGGCAAGAATGAGTGTGATACAGAGAATTAGAGGATTACAAAACTACAGAAAAGCCTTTGGGTAGGAAGGACTGGAAGTCATTGCTTATGTTAAGGAACTCAGATGGTGCATGAATCACCAGGAACAATTGCGGATGATCTCTTCTGCCTGAAGCAGCACAATGGCTGGTTCATAGGAGGTTCCCAGAAGCAGATTAGAAAGGCAGTGTTCTTTTCCAGATACTGTCTAGCATTTCAAATAATATGCTTTAAAGGAGTTACTTCAACCATGAAATGTCTCTGTTTGGCTCCCTTTAATGGGGTAATCAAAATTATTATATGCTTTCAGAAACAAGCACACATTTATTTTGATTAAGTAAACAAGAACACTAAAATAAAAAGAATGCAAAACAAAAATCCGAATACAATATAAACATTTTCATTTGTGGCCTATTTTTATTTTTCATTTGTTAACTCTTACCAGTGTTACATAGACTATTACAAATGCTTACTCTAATAGTCAATGCTTTTCTCATTTTCACCAGCAACCTAAAAAAATAAAATGATAAGGATTGTGAGAAAATTAATTCAATATTTAATAAATGCCAAATTGATAGTTTTTGATAAGAATGATCTTCAAATAAAAATACACATTTGTTCTTATAGATCAAAGAAGAATATTTTATTTTATTTTATATTTTATTTTATTTTACTTTATTTTATTTTATTTTTATTTTCTGGTTAAAAGAGAAAGAATTTTCCTTAAGGTATTTTAGCCTCTTAACCCATGTCTTGCTCCTCACCACAGAATTTGAGTTGCCTCATCAAAGTGATTGGTTCATTTTTCATCTGATTGGAAATAATTACCTTAAAATTTGGAAGTAAAAGGCATTTGGTCTCTTTATGCTTGCTCCATTCAGAACAGTGCAAGAGCCTATTGCAGAAATAGCACCAGTTCTTTACCTCTGCCTGTATCCTGCCCTTTGCTACATGACTTCTCTATTTTTCTCCTTAAAAAAGCATTTTTCCTTGCTTTTTGATTTTGGGGTCTGGCATATGACGTGTTTTGGCCAATGGAATGTTAACAGATTTGACACCATGTATTTGTTACATTTAGATTAACAAAATGGAAACAAGCTTTGAAATCTGCTGTCAATAATGTATTTATTAAAATAATCAATACACATTTGGTAAGCTTTAAAATTACCAGTGGACCAATGCCATTCCTTGGGTTGCTATTTATTTCAACAAAGATCATTCAGTTGCAGGCTTCAAGGCAGAACTTCTATTAGAGTTTCAGAGAAAATGCTCCCAAAGTCTTATCTTAAAAAAATTGTCCCTGAATTTTATAAAACCTGAGTAGTTTAATTAGGATACGTCTTTTTCTCAGATGTTGATATGCTGTTCTAATTCTTTCAAGTGCATAATTGTAAACTACTTAATTTCTATTGGATACATTGAATAGAGTATCTTACAATTTATTTTTTAATGCCAATATTTAGAAAAATCTAGAAATTCTGTCTCATTGAAATTAAGACAACTTTTGAAAGTTAACTAATGTTTGTGAGAGAACACAGTTTATACATAGTCATTTAGGGAATTATAAGCAAAATGTTTACAGACCACTGAACTGGCCTTTCACCTTGGCCTATAGGACCATTAGCTTACTTGTGATAGAATTCAAAACCCAGCAATAGTTAAATGCAGATTAGGATCAACTGCTTTTCTACACTCTTATCATAAAGTTACCATGAATGTGAGTCTCATGGCACATTCTGCTACACACAGACAACAGGAGGTCATGTAATATTTTGTATAAACTCAATGAAAATCCAAGCTTCCTGTCTTCTTTGGTGCCTCAAAAAGATCTTATTTGAAAGTTGTACTTCAAGAAAACAAAACAAGATTCCAATGGAAGACTATGGCCCACCATCCATTGAAGTAAAAAAACTCAAAATCCTCGGAGAACTAGTGAAAGTGAGAGGAGGTGCCAGCTGGGCTTCCTGGGTTGAGTACGGGCTCAGAAAGCTGTGAAACTCACTCATTTCCTGCATCGGGACTTACTTCAGTCCTGGATGAATAATATGGAAGACATATGCTTAAACTATTCCTAACACCAGGTTTTGTGCGTGTTTTCTTCCCCAAGAAAGCTATAAACAGCAAAAATTTTGCTGTAAGTTTCCCTGTGTCTTCTCTCCCTCTCTCCCTTCCCCCTCCCCTGAAACTAAAGTAAAAGAAATGTTAACTGCCCATTTTTTTGTGACCAGTGGACCTTATCTATACTCCCAGTTCCAATTCCTTGTGAACATACTTTGTAAAGTCCTGTAAGATCCTGTCTCCTTTGCCATGCTCCTGCAAGATCATAAGGTAAATAAAACCTAAGCCGCAATTCTGGTTTTCCTCAAGATCTAAGACATGTCACAAATGGTTAATTGTCTTTGTTTCTCGCTCTGGTAACTTCTTCCTGCTGCACGTATTTCCCACCTTAAAGAGTTTAAAAGGCAATCGTATAATCTAACTCTGGCTACCCGTTCGGGACCAGGCTGTGGAATCTTTGTACTTTCACTCTGCTCAATAAAGCCTACAGCTTTTTCTTGCCCTCGGTCCGTGTCTCTACCACTTGCCGCGGTCAGCCGCCACACCAATTCTTTGACGTGGCTAGACAAGAACATGAGGCGTTACAAAAGGATGAAAGACATTTTAAGGATCAAGTATTACGTACCACAACCAAAGGGTACAATGTCCTTGACTCACTAAACTCTTAATGCCATTTGTGCAAGGATGAGAAAGATCGTGATACTATTAATTTTACCAATGAAAATCCATTTCCAATATATATCAAGCAACTTAGCAAATCCTCTAGTGTAGGAAATAAAAATCATTGAAATTTTTGTAGTAGATAACTCCTGGTGACTTCCTGATTAGAATTCTAGCTGACCAGTGACAGAGTCTGCATTCCCAATTAGGGCAATCGATCCTGTTAACAGCAGCAAGTCCGACAGGTCTGCAGCAAACTTGATTCTTGCCTCCTCAGAGGAAAGAATTCGGCAGGGGTACATAAGGCAGAGTGAGAGCCCAAGGCAAGTTTTAGAGCAAGAGGGAAAGTTTATTAGAAAATTTTAGAGGCCGGGCGCCGTGGCTCACGCCTATTACAGGCGCCAGCCTTTGGGAAGCCAAGGCGGGCGGATCACGAGGTCAGGAAATCGAGACCATCCTGGCTAACACGGTGAAACCCCGTCTCTACTAAAAATACAAAAAAATTAGCCGGGCGTGCTGGCAGGAGCCTGTAGTCCCAGGTACTCGGGAGGCTAAGGCAGGAGAATGCCGTGAACCCGGGAGGCAGAGCCTGCAGTGAGCCGAGATCGCGCCACTGCACTCCAGCCTGGGCGACAGAGGGAGACTCCCTCTCAAAAAAAAAAGTTTTAGAGCAGTAATGAAAGGAAGTAAAATACACTTGGAAGAGAGCCAAGTGGGTGACTTGAGAGATCCAAGTGCGCTGTTTGGCCCTTGACTTGGGGTTTTATACATTGGCATAGTTGGAGGTTTCCATTTCTCCTCCCTTGATTTTTCCCTTGGGTTGGACTGTCCTCATGCATGGAGGCCAGCCAGCACTTGGGAGGGGCCGCATGCAGTGTGTTTATTGAAGTTGTGTGGATGCTCGCTTGAGGTGTTTTTCCCTTACCAGTTGAGCATTCCTAGAGGAAGGTCATATACTGGTTAAACTCTGCCATTTTGCCTCTTAATGTGCATGCTTGAGCCTGCTCACCTAGCTCCTGAGATCTTATAGAGAAGCTGCTGATCACCAGCTTCAGGTGTTTTCTCTCTACTGGGAGACTACCTTTCTCTGGTGCCGGTCGCAACCAATTACTATTTTAGAGAGACAGTTTAACAACCTCCTGACCGTCACCTGATGGTCCTGACATTCCTTGGGGGTGGGGAGCCTCTCTTCCCCTGCTCATGTCCCTCTAACTACCTATTGCAACAATCCCATCAAGGTTACAAATCAAACTGACATATACATGAATTAATACTTTCTGTGCCGAAGTGTGTTTAACGTAATTACATACATCATAAGTCACTGGATATATGAGTATGTAATTAAATACTATCAGATTGTTTTCCAAAATGACTCTACCTGTTAGTATTTGCACCAGCAGAGTATCAGAACGTCTAAATTCCACGATCTTGGCAACACTTGCTGTTATCCAAATTAGTCATTTTTTAACATTCTTTTGAATTTTAATTTGCATATTTCCAAATAATAGTAAATTTGAGTATTTTTTTCAGACCATATTTTCAAAAACTGTATGGGCCAATTGGGCTTCCCTTCTGTGAATTGCATGATCATACGCCTTGTTCATATATCTGCTGGGCTTCCTGTCTCTGCCTTGTTGATTTATACTCACAAATAAATATTGCATGCTAATTAGATCCTTCACCTTTCAACAAACAGAGATTCTTTCAGGTTATATTTAGGAGGTTTATTGGAAAAAAGTACATATAAAAATAGGGAAGGCAAACATCTCTGGAGTACAACTGGGGATCCAGGAACAGTGAAGCCTTGATTAGAATCTATTTTTACAACTGGAAAGCTCCAAATAGAGATCCAAATAGCTCTGGAGACAGATTACGTATTAATAGTGCTCCACCCATATCCCTTAGGGGTTGTATTATTTGCTTGTTTTTTAATTTGTTTGTCACCTCCTTTGACATTTTCCACATCTAATAGCCAGAATTTGCAAACATTTTTCAGTAGGCTTTGGACTACTGGATCTTTTCTTTGCTCGTGTTCTGGAATCCCTAAATCCCTAGAAAATTATGTTCCTTCAAGACAGTCCTTTAAAAAATGACCAACTGGCCTGAGGTTAGAAGAACCTTAACTCTCTTGCCTCCCATCAGATAACTCTGAGACCCGATTTACATTCCTGAATTCCCTGCCAGAGCAGTCTGAAGCTGGGTGACCAACTCATCCCAGTATGCCCCCAACGTTTCCACTTTTAGCACTGAAATTCTCATGTCCTGGAACCCCTTCAGACCCATGCAAACCTACTTGATGCTTTGCCTGAGTTCATATTATTTTTTTTTAATTTTTTTAGTATTTATTGATCATTCTTGGGTGTTTCTTGGAGAGGGGGATTTGGCAGGGTCATAGGACAATAGTGGAGGGAAGGTCAGCAGATAAACATGTGAACAAAGGTCTCTGGTTTTCCTATGCAGAGGGCCCTGCCACCTTCCGCAGTGTTTGTGTCCCTGGGTACTTGAGATTAGGGAGTGGTGATGACTCTTAACGAGTATGCTGCCTTCAAGCATCTGTTTAACAAAGCACATCTTGCACCACTCTTAATCCATTTAACCCTTAGTGGACACAGCACATGTTTCAGAGAGCACGGGGTTGGGGGTAAGGTTACAGATTAACAGCATCCCAAGGCAGAAGAATTTTTCTTAGTACAGAACAAAATGGAGTCTCCTATGTCTACTTCTTTCTACACAGACACGGTAACAATCCGATCTCTCTTTCTTTTCCCCACATTTCCCCCTTTTCTATTCGACAAAACCACCATCATCATCATGGCCCGTTCTCAATGAGCTGTTGGGTACACCTCCCAGACAGGGTGGTGGCCAGGCAGAGGGGCTCCTCACCTCCCAGACAGGGCGGCGGCCGGGCGGGGGCTGCCCCCAACCTCCCGGACGGGGCTGAGTTCATATTATTATCTTCCTCTCCACTGTCCTGCTTTCCTTACCCCTTATTAGTGTCTATTAGGACTGATTCCTTAATAAATGATTTGCACACAAAGTTGTTTCAGAGTCTGCTTCTGGGGAAACTGACCTAAGATATTCACTTAACTACTGTTTTCTGATCCGTATTCTAACGCCCTATTTTATTAAGTTTCAGCTAGCATTTTGTGATATTTTGGCTCCTATTCTTGCTACCTACAACATGTATCTTCAAGGTTTAATTTCTTACTTCCATAGAGACAATGATGACCTGACTGGTCCAGTTAGTAGCATGATCCTCTTGGGCAAAATTTAGGCACCAAATTCAAAGGTAGCCCATCAGCCTGTAGATTGTCAATTCTTGGGTTAGATAATCAGGCTTGCTGCAATTAGCTGTGGCCAAGAAGGGTGAGAATAAGTGGTCTCTAGCTTGGCTGTCAGCATAACAATCCCTTAGAAGGGAGCTGCAGGATATGGGCACACAGGCATTAAAAGGCTTGTAGCCTATTTAGCACATGCTATTTGTCTTAAAATAGCTTTTATTTTAAAAAATTAAAACAAACAAAGGACTTTATTTTATTAAATGCTTAATTTCTTGCAAATTCAGAAGTCTTATGCTGTGTTACCCGAGAAACATTTTCTGTAAAATTAATACAATAGAAATCAGCTAAAAGGCAAAGTAAAAAGTAGTGGCACAGGACAAATGTTTTGAAAAACCTCATTGTCTTACTGTGCCAAAAGAGAAAATATTAAAGGAATTTAGAAGTAGCAAAATTTGTAGTAATGCCATTTCATTCATTAATGCATATAGTAACATCAATAAGGCACGTAGATCCGTATAATGTACAGCTTATGAATACGTAAGCATGAAAGGTTTTATCTTTTTGCATAATACTAGATGATTCCACTTAAAACATTTTTGGTTTTGATGTGAGATTTTGCAGGCATGAGGCTTGATTTTCTTTTCAAGCTCTGCAATTTGTTTGAACTTATTTACATAAGGAACACCAAATTAGCTTGTTATACTAAGAGTCATTCAAGTATGTCCAATTTGCATTCCCGTATTTGAATCCCACACATTCAATTTAATTTTCTTTCCATTGCTTTTTCTGGCTTTCTTAAAATGATTAAGGATGATATACTTATTTTTGGATGCTTCATAGCTGTACTTCCCAGGAAATTTGCCTAATTCAGAAGATTTTATTATCTTTTATTTTAAACCCACTTTCACTTCAGGAGGATGGCAGAGGTTCTGAAAATTCAAGCATCTCTAAAGATTTTGCATCTATTGCAAAGATTCTTGCTTGTAGGGGCAACAAAGATTCTTGCTTATAGGGGCAATTATTACAGTGTCTATTCTTTTAACATGGGATTGTGTCTGTATCTGTTGTATGGACATTGAAGGTACTTTTAATCCAAGAGATTTTTGATACATTTTTCCTTTTGTTTAAACATTAAGATGATTCCTGGATTTCCTTTCATATTCTTCTGCAGGCAGCCTTTATATTGTCAGGAAATGTCATTTTACTTTACTTGATGAGAACTTCTTCGATGCTTCCTGTTCTCTGTAAAAATACTAGCAGCCTTCAGCCTGAGAACAACAGGCTTCTTTCTGTTCTTTGAAGCATTACTTGACCAAAAGAAAGTTTAGATCAGATTACAGTGTGCCTTGAGACTCTTTGTAGCTTTTGGTCTATATCTTTTCAAATAACCATGGCTTTCACTTTATTGAAAATCTTCAACCTTTTAATTAAAATGACTAGTACACAATATAAAAATCAAATACAACTAAAGAACTTACAATAACTGGCAATGATTCCCTTGGTCTCTCAATCCAACACTTTTGGCACCCAGTCTTTCTAAAGGCAATAAATAACGTTTAATTGAGTGTGGGAGTTCAGTCAGGCTAGTGGGAAACATTTTAAAGATAGTTACAAAAAATAGGCACAAACCTTCTTGGAAGGCCGGGGGTTTGCATAAGCTCCAGTAATAAATCTGGCTGAAGGCAGCCTAATCCTTACCTTGAGTAAATAACTTAGAGGAGGTACACAGGAATGTAAGGGAGCTTATCTAAATAGCTTGTTTACTCCTAAGACCAACCTTTGATTACCCCGGGTGCATAATCGCTCTCTATGCGGGAGGTCAGCTATGTCAATTACCCTCTAGTGGTGTTTACTCAAGACCTTTGTCATTTAATCTCTACTAAATAAATGCGAGCTTTGCTGGCTGAGAGGCGCAGGGGCTGCAACTCTTTACGCACCCTCCTTGGTGTCTGTAAGTGGCCCAGACCCTCAGCGGGACTGACAGGCAAAATATCCGTGTCAGTATACGTTATTCATCCATCGTTGGGTCAGAGTCTGCAGGACAGACCCCAGCAATTGAGGGTTTAGTTGTAATGACTTTTTGTAAAAATCATCTTTAATATAATTCAGCTACCATATTTTAAAATATAATTTTAAAATCTTTTTTTACTTTCTGTTATGACAGATATGATTGAGCCTGCTCATTTCCTGCCACCAGTTTCCCTTTTTTGATATAATTACATCATTTTTGGATTCTTCAACTGGTTTCCTTAAATTAAAAAAAAAAAAAAGAAAAGAAAATCAACATCTCTCTCAGTCTCTTTCCCCTCTCTCTGTTTCCCACTCTCTTTCTCTTTGTGGAAACATAGATGTTATATTGTCTTAAGCCAAAAGGGAAGACATAAAAATAGTTTGTTTACCCAAGTGTAATAACAAGGCCTCCAGTAAGATTTAGATGATTTCTGCTAAGATTTATAATACTGCAATCTTTAGCAGCTAATTGTTATAGGCAGTACTCCAGACACCTCTGTTTCACTTCCTATCTCCAGATTTTTGAGGTTGATGAATAATATTTATAATAACAATAATAACAACTGTTGTTGTAGTACAACAACAGACACTGAGTGTTTAGTGTTAGGCATTGTTACAAATTCCTGTTACACATTTTAAAATCCTTACCACTGTCTTTAAGGTGTTACTATGCCCATTTAACAGATAAGGAATCAGAAGCACAGTGAAATTACGTTATTTATCTGTTCTGGTTACTACTGCTGCAAAATAAAACACCCCAATACTTAAGAACTATTGATTATGCTCATGTATTATATGAGTCAGAAGTTTGAACAGTGTCCAGCAGCTATAGCTTGTCTTTCTTCTAAGCTATCTGGAATTTATGATGGGACTAACCAGAGTTGGGGGTGGTTATCTGCAAGGAATCATCTGCAGGTTTTTCCACTCACAAATCTGGCAGTTGATGGTTGCTTTTGGTTGTAATCTCAGTTGGGGCTGTCAACTAGAACACCTACAGGTGCCCTCTGTGTGTGATCTGGATTTCCTCACAGCACAGTAGCCCAGAGCTGTCAGATTTCTCCATGTTATCTCTGGACTACAAAGAGGGGTGGGGGAAATTGACCCAGTTAATAAGGAGGAAGCTGAATTGCCTTTTATGAACTAGCATTGGGAGTCATGCAATATTACTTCTTTTGCTTTGTGCTGGTTACAAGCAGGTCACAAGCCTGCTGAAATTCAAGGATAAGATTCTAGAAGATAAGGTATTTTTATGTCCATCTTCAGAAAATACATTAAAATCATATGACTTGCAAGTGACATTCTGACTCCAGAGTGCACATATTTTCTGTATATTGTTTCTTACCAATGTAGCTACATTTTACTGCTGCCACTTTTTCTGGGACAGGTCTAGATTTGGGGGTGCATGTCTTCTACTTCTCAAAATGTATTGCTGAGCTTCTCTAGTGTGTCAATCATTGTATTAATTTTCAGCATTGACAATTGTAAACCTAAATCATACCCTCCTGCTTCATGAGGTAAGTTTTTCTCTTATGAATATAAAACTTGGCTTTATCTTCTTCCATCTCTTGGATTTGTTCACGCTTTTCTATATTCTTTCTATGTCTTTCCCTTCTTTTGTGCATTCTTCTATTTCTCTTGAAGCATAACTTTTAAGAGCTTCTTAAGAGGGAGACATGGTGTAAATTTTCTTTGTATGTAAAAGTAAGTCTTACAAATCAATTAAATAACCTACATTTTTATTTTTAAATAACAAACAATATTCTTTGGGTGTTTGAAGGAATTACATTTATGTCTTCTGTTATCTCATTTTGCTATCAAGAAATGTAAGTTTTGTTTTTGTTGTGTTTTTTTCTGGAAAATTCTAGGGCTGATATTCGTGCTTCTCTGAAATTTATAAGTAGATGCATTGGAGTGGCTATAATTTCATTATTTGCTGTAAACATCTGGTCTCCTTTCAATGAGAGATTAAGTCCTCCAGTACTGAAAAATTTTCTTCAGTTATATTTTTGATAATTTCCTATTTCATGTTTCCTTATTTCTTTGTAGAATCTTCTTTATTTAGAAGTTGAACATCATGGATCAATCTTTTAGCTCTTTTTCCCCCACTTATATATTCTCCAGTTACTTGCTTTTTTGTTTTATTTCCCTAAGACACCTAAAATCTCTTTCTGCCAGCCAACCCTTCTGCTTATTTTTGCTTACTTCTGCTACTCTTATTAATTAACTGCTAAGTCTTTTTTATATCTGTATGAGATCACTAATTAGCATTTTACATGTTTCTCTTTTGTTTCTGGTTCTATTGCTGTTTTCTATAGGTTTTTGGATGTTGTTTTATTTCTTGAAAGTTGGAATTATTCTTCAAATGTTTAGAACTGGTGATTGGCTCTGCTCAGAAGTAAAATACTTCTGATTGAAAACTCTTTGAGCTTGGGAGTGTTGGGAGGGTTGTGATTGACAGAGTTTATCTATAATATTTTAGACAGTTTGCCAGATATCCTATTTGGGAAACTCCCAACTGATGCATTGTAAAATGCTCCAATCATTTATCTGGGAGGACACTACCGGTCTGTGTGTGTGTGTGTGTGTGTTGTGTATGTGTGGTAAGTATTTGTCATGGAGACATTTACAGTAACAGTCAAAATTTATCATTATTTTTTAAATATTTATTTATTTAATTCAAATTGATGTGCATTGATCATTATTTTCATAGGAGGAATAAATGCTATAACTATGTAAGCTTACAATTAAATTTTATTTAAAGCTGCCAAAAATTAAATTTATTTAATTTTTAATTTAGAGGCATATAAAATTTGTGTCATTGTTTTCTGATTTTTTAGCTGGAAGAGACAAAAAAAGTGAGGTGAGATTATTTTCTTACTACTTTCTGTTGAAGAATTTGATCTCAAAATTGACATGGTAATATAAGTTCATGACTAAAATCTGGACACATCAAGGTGTTAATATTCAAATTAAAACAGTTATAAGCTTTTCTGATAAACCAAAATATTAGTGAGTGATATTGATGACTATGAATATTCAATTGAGATTTTTTTTTCTAAGTGATCACAAAAGCATAAGAAATTTAAAAATGGAGAGCATTAATAAAAATTAGGTTGCAGGTCAAAATTTTGCATTGTGGAAAACATAATATATATTTATGTGGTTTACAACTATGATCTTCTTGATTCAGTCTAACCACAGGGAGGAAACCCTCCCCTTTATAACATTAACTTAAGGCCAGTTAGAATAAATGTGCCATCATTGTCATTGTCTTTAATCATTGTTTACCGAGCATTTCCGTAATATATACCATTGGCTTCAGTTCAAGAAATCCTGGTTCCTGTCATTGGATAGCTTTTGACCTATATTAAAGAAATGTATTACACAGGAGCAGGATAAGTATGCAGCATATCGTAGGGGACAGATATTGCTAAAGCTTGTTGGTTATGATTTGCTATGGTCTTGCCTATCACAGTAATGTTCAATGCCTTTGACATATGAGAAGGTAGGATTTTAGCAGAATAAATATTTTGTGCTATTTCAGATGTGGGAAGGATACTTTGGATGACATTTTGGAGCCATAAAAAAGTCTAGGCAGCAGGTAGCAAGGACATTAACTTAGCTCAAACAACACATGTTTACATATGATTAGTAAAGTAAAATGAGGCTTTGCTACATTTGACAGGACAGCCTGGAAAATTAACCTCCAAAATGCCCTGAAGGAAGAACAGAAAACAGGATGAAAAAGCACAGACAGTGATAATTGTCATGCAGATATGAGTTAGAGAGACAAATACCCTAAGCCAGCATCTGAGAAATGATAATAAAAGACACATTCGTTTAAAAAATTCACTGAATGTCCAACTGTAATTACAGAAAGAAGGAAACCAAATGCAAAAACAGGAGGCAGTACAATCTCAACATCTAATATTTTCAGGCCAAAGGTTTCAGGGAAAACATCAGAAAATAATTTCAAGTTGAAAGTGGTTGAAGGCAGAGATGAGGTTGTGTAACATGCATTGAAAGGTCTGGCATAAGTTTGCATGTATTTTTAATAATTGGCATATCCATAAAGAAATTCTACTGAGAGGTACCACTGGCAGAGTTGGTATGAACTCAAAGAATGGAGCTAAACAGCCTTGGTTGGAATTCAGCTTCCCAGATTTCTCGTGTTTGACCCTGGGCAAATTGCTTTACTTTTGTGCACTTCATTATAGTACCTAACTCAGAGGGTACTTGTGGGGATTAAATGAGTAAATATACACAAAGTACTAGAACAGCATCTGGTTCATGGCACTAGCAGTTAGTATAATTACAGTTATTATTACTAATGTTGCATTTTTCCCATGCACTTTAAGACATTTTGAAACATTTCTCAATAACTATTTTTTCTTGTCTTTACTTTATTTACTCACTTAATGTGTCAAGAATACAACTAGGTGCCTAGCTCTGGCAATATATAAGACAGAAGCTATAGAAAGGTTGTATTTAGTTATTGATAAGAAGACATACCAGTAGAACAAAATTTTTATTTTAAATTGTATAATTTTCAAGGTCTTTCACTACTATCCATTCCCCTATGACTCAGGCCTCATCAATGACTATTTATATGTACAGCTTTTCAAGTAGGTTTCTTACTACATACATACAGAACAAAAAAGGAGAGTTAATGCTCAACTTCGAACTTGAAAACTTTAGCATTGCACATTAAAAGCAAAGTCTAAAGGATTTGCAGGATAGATTTTAATCAGCAAACCACAAAGCAGAGAAGAACACAGGAGGAAGTAAGAAGTATACTTTTTGTTTTCTTTTCTCTTTTTTTTTTGAGATGGAGTCTTGCCCTGTTGGCCAGGCTGGAATGCAGTGGCACAATGTCAGCTCACTGCCACCTCCGTCTCCCGGGCTCAAGCAATTCTCCTGCCTCAGCCTCCAGCGTGGCTGCAATTACAGGCATGTGCCACCACTCCCGGCTAATTTTTGTATTGTCAATAGAGACGGGGTCTCACCATGTTGGCCAGGCTGGTCTTGAACTCCTGACCTCAGGTAATCTGCCCACCTCGGCCTCCCAAAGTGCTGGGATTACAGGCGTGAGCCACCTCGCCTGGCTCAGAAAAGACCTTTTTATAATAATGTTGGGAGGTAGGAGTGGAGCTGTGAGGAAGAGAAAGATGAAAAATAGTTTAGAGATTACTGTGGGATGCTTCCTACTGCCCTCTACTGAGGCCACATCCTATGTTCTGGAGGAAGAAGATCGAACGGCGTACACTTTCTAGGGGAGGAATCCTAGAGTATAGAGTATTTGTATCTCATTTTCCAGGACATGGTCTAAGAGCACTGCAACCCTCTTAGAGAAGCCCAGAATGGAACCAGAGTAGGGATTAGCAAGGATGGCAAGGCAAGGCAAAAAGGAGTCTGAGGTGGCCTCCTGCTCTCCCAAAGCCCAGAATAGTGTGGGAGAGTTTTCCAAAGTCTCTAGGGCTCCCAAAAGTGCCCAGAAGTAAGAGGGAGTGAGCCACAGAATTGAAAGTTTCTGTTGTTGAATATGCCAACTGAAAACAAAGGAGGGCGTGTAGGACTGTGAACATCAGGTAACCCACGTCATGGTGACAAAGGCCAGTTGCAAGAACTGGCTGACCCATCACATCACTGTGGAAGCCTGTGAGAACAGAGGAGGGTCACAGACCAAAGATGTCCCACTTCTCTTCATCCCTTCCCCATCTTGATTGCTATGGTGCTCTATAGAAGCCCTTCCCACAAAAGAGAACGTTGGGGAAGAAATACTGCATTGATTACTGAGAAGTTACAGGAAAGACTGATTTTTAATCTGGAATTGATTTTTTCTGAATTTGCAAAGTTAAATGATGTGTGTTTGTATATTAGTCCGTTTTCACACTGCCATAAAGAAATACCTGAGACTGGGTAATTTATAAAGGAAAGAGGTTTAATTGACTCACAGTTCCACATGGCTTGGGAGTCCTTAGGAAACTTATAGTCATGGTGGAACGTGAAGGTTAAGCAAGGACCTTCTTCACATGGTGGCAGGAGAGAGAAGTGCAAGCAGGGGAAATGTTAGATGCTTACGAAGCAATCAGACTCGTGAGAACTCCCTCACTATCACAAGAACAGCATGGGGGAAACCATTCCCATGATCCAGTCACCTCCCACTCGTTCCTTCCTCAACACCTGGAGATTACAGTTCAGGATAAGATTTGAGTGGGGACACAAAGCCAAACCATATCAGTTTGTTTGTTCTGTTTGCTGCTGACTGAAAATGGAAAACCATAAATAGTGCAAAGTTCAGTGATAGAAAATGACCTATCCAGTGCATCTGTAGACATCAATTTTCACATGTAGTTATCACCCTAGATACACTTACAAGGAACACTTCAACAACAAGGCAAATAGTATGATTAAGCCCCAGAATCATCAGTGGAGAAATAAGCCCTTTAGGGAAAGGGAAAGATGAGTCAGAATGAGTAGGAAAGGCATAAAGGAGGTTGTAAGGCATTGAGTGGTGAGTTTTAAATAGGCATAGAAGTGAGGAAATGGTGTCCTAGGTCTGAATTAAGCTGCACAGGCAAGGTATGGAACTAAACTGTGGACCTTACCACAAATGAGGAAAAACATTAAAGGATGGATTTTTTGCTCAAAATATGATTTTATTTCACAACTCTGTTTATTCAGTTTGCTTTGCAGACAATGACCTTCCTATTACTCAGAAACTGTGATTTTTCATACAGGTGACCAAAACCCTCTTTCATTGTTCTGTATTAGAAACTAGATTTCACCACTTACTAGCTATGCAACATTGGACACACCTAACTTCTTTGACTTAAGACTCATCATTATAAAATGGGGATAATGAGATAATTACTACATAGGGGTGTTGTCATACAGGATAATCTGTGCCTGGCACGTAGCACACACGTGTTATCTATTATCAATGTAATATTTGTTTTAAAAAACTTTTCTACCCTTGAGGAAAGTGATACTAAATATTCTAGGACATCCAAGTTTCTGAGTTCAGTAGAGGACACAAAAAGGACTCAAGGTCTGGGTTAATGGGGGTTATGTGAATAGGGATTGGAGGGCTTTCTGCATAACTCTGGCAATTATAAAAGACATTTCCTTACTTTCTCTCTATTGTTACAAATAAGCATTTTGTTTGAATCTTCACTTTCCCAGAAGTTTCCTTCCTGGGCTCTTGTCCACTCTGAGTATCTTTTGGGAATGTTTTTTTCAGACAAGGGGCTCTTATTGTATAGAATATTTCACTCAGTTCTCTCTAACAGCTGTGTTTTCAGAAGCCTGTTGAAAAACATGACAACAAAATAAGTCTACTTTGACTCTTTGTCATTCGTACATTTAAAGTTCTTTACATTTTAGTTATTTTAAAAAATTTAAGCTAGCAGAATCTTCAAGAGATTTGGAAACTCATTATTAATCCACAGAGACCTGTGTTGGTTTTTCCATCCCTTTACCATCAACTTGCTACTGTTGTCTGGATCAGAGTTCAATTCAATAAATAGTAATTCTCTGTTTCTTTTCTTCTCTTAATGATGACCTATGGATAATGAATATTGACATGTGGATGACAAATGTTGAATTTGTTTTTGTGAAAAATTCTATTGGTTCTGCTTTCAACGTACTATTCAAATCTGACCATTTTTCATCTTTTTTTTTCACTGCCTCCACTCTAGTCCCAGTCACAGTCATCCCTGGCCTGATTATTGCATCACCTTCCTAGCTGATTTTTCTCTTTCACCCTGGTCCAGCCATGCTGGCCTCCTTGCATTCCCTGATTAGGCCAAGTATGTTGCTTCCTTAGGCTCTTTACACTCCCTTTTTCCTCTTGGAAATACCCTTCCTTCACATAGCTACATGAGCTGCTTCTTCATTTCTTTTATGTCTCGTTAGTTAATGACATTTTCTGAATAACGTCTACCCTGATTCACTTATTGCAAATTGCAATAGGCCCCTCCCCATAGCCACTTTCATTCTTCTTATGATAGTCTTTAGTTTTTTTATAGAAGTTTCATCTTCTTACATGCTACGTAATTTATTTATTAGATTTATTGTTAATCATCTGTCTCCCCCAGCAAAAATGCTATCTTTCTCTTATTTTTTTCCTAAATATATCACAAAGGCAGAGACCACTACCAGGGATACCATAAAAGCTGAGAAATTGTGTACAGAATGTATGGAAGAAAAATGGATATCTTCTTTATTGAAAAAGATATGAAGAGGTGATTTTAGTTTTTCGACATGTAAGCTGGTTCCTTTTTTATTATCTCATTGTGGTTGAGAGATTACATTGCTTAGTTCTATCTTGGGAGTAAATTATGTGCTAAAGTTTTAAAAGTTCTACAAGGGTACTGATAACTGGTTGCTAATGTAGTGATCACATTCAGATTTGTTATCACTCTCTCAATTTTGGGATTCCTCCTTCAACACCCTCTTTTCACATGGTTAATGTGATCCTATGTATGGGTTATAATCAAACCTGTTCCTTCCACTCAGATACAACATTGCCCTTGGTGGTCTGATGAAGTTTGCAAATCTAATATGTTCTGAACATTACAGCCAGTGAATATTAATTAATAACTAATGACCAAGCCTTAAAGCAGGCAAAAGAAAGAGCAGAATGTAGTTTTGACTAATTGAATGTATGATGAATTCAGGAAGAATCACGTTATAAAGAGAGGAAAGTTTTCCTTATTTATCAAGATTCTATTTTATGTGAATTATAGTTCTATTGAATCTCATTTTTCTTTTGCTGCATATAAAAATGATTGGAGTCTGGACAACAAAGTGAGACCCTGTCTCTATAAAACAAAAACAAAACAACCCCCCTGCCCCCCTCAAAAAAAAAACCAATTAGCTGGGTGGTGGTGTGTGCCTGCAGTCCCAAGAACTTGGGAGGCTGAGGCAGGTGGATGGCTTGAGTCCAGGAGCTCGAGGCTGCAGTGAACTGTGATTGCACCATAGCACTCCTGCCTGAGTGACAGAGTGAGATCTTGTTTGCAAAAACAAATAATAAATACAAAATAAATAAATAATAAAATTATTTGAAAATCAAGTGTATATTAGACATAGGAATATTTCTTTCATCTTTTTTTTTTATTTTTTATTTTTGTCAGAGTCTCACTCTCTCCCAGGCCAGAGTGCAGTGGCATGATCTCAACTTCCACCTCCCGGGTTCAAGCAATTCTCCTGCCTCAGCCTCCAGAGTAGCTAGGATTACAGGCATGCACAACCACTCCCAGCTAATTTTTGTGTTTTTAATAGAGATGGGGTTTCACCACGTTGACCAGGCTGGTCTCGAACTCTTGACCTCAGATGATCCGCCTGCCTCGGCCTCCCAAAGTGCTGGGATTACAAGCATGAGCCACCGTGCTCAGCCCGGAATGTTTCTATGTGGGAAGCAAAACCATTCTTTAAGGTTTTCCAAATAAGCATAAGTTTGAAAGAAGGAGAGAATAACCATTTGGTAGAAATTGTGAAATATTAAAAGTATGATTGTGGGTGGATCTGGGAGAGATTTAGCCCACTGATCCAGAACATCTTTGAATAAACCTTCCGTGTAGACCAAAAGTCTTGAATGTTTGCCATGTGATAATCTTTGCTTCATCTGGGAAAGATGGATTTGGCAAACTCTTACTGTTGCTTCTTAGGCATGGTGTGCAAGGCATTGAAGGTTATGTTCCACTGAGAAAATATATGCAATTTACAAAGTAAGAAAATGGAAGCTCAAAATAATCTGGGAATTACTTTTTTCCTCTTTATAAAAATAATTATTCATAATAATTACTTATTACTTTTTTTAAATAAAAGACGATTGCCACAAAATGCCCCAAGAAAGTAAGATAAGTTATAGCTGACGTCATCTTATCTAGGTTATTAAAAAGGCTCAGGAAGTCGAGTTTCCATCTCACTTTGAGAGTGTTACCAAGTGTTACCAATGGTATTCTTTTTCCTTGAACAAATCTCTCTCTTTTTTTTTTCACCTCCCTAAAAATAAGAGTAATTTAGCTGGTCAGAATTTTTAAATTAAACTGAGGTCTAGTAGAAAAAGACTGAGAAATGTGTAAAAGTAATATGTAATTATTGCATGATATGTTTTATGAATTTGAGTAGAAATATAGGAATAATCACATTTCCACTGATTTCTATCTTCTGGAACTCTAAATATTTATTTGACCACTCATGAAAAGATTCAGTTAATTAGGGACTCGTAAAAAGAGAAGAGCATTTTTCCTGATTTTGGCAAAGATTTCTAAATAGCAGCATTATTGTATAAGCACTTGAATAATGTGGATGTATCATAAATTATACCTGATTGATAATGGATTTTTAGTATATAGTTTACTAGACTGACCAAGAATTACAAGTGGGGAGGGTGAGAAACAATTATCTTATATTATATTTAGATCAATAGAGTCATATGTTTTTTATAATTTAACATGTGATATATTATTTTACAATTTCTACTGTTGGTACCTATTATGTTTAATCACTACAGTAGGGATTATCTCCCAGGAGGCATACCATGGGTTCTAATCAGAATTGTGGAAGTCGTCAATGAGAAATGAAACACATTGCTTCAGTGAAATTGTCTAAAAAAAAAAAAATTATATTCAACATAATAGTCTTTGTTTTTTTTTTTTGAGACGGAGTCTTGCTCTGTCGCCCAGGCTGGAGTGCAGTGGTGCAGTCTCAGCTCACTGTACCCTCTGCCTCCCGGGTTCAAGCGATTCTCCTGCCTCAGCCTGCCAAGTAAATGTGACTGCAGGCACGTGGCACCACGTCAGGCTAATTTTTGTATTTTTAGTAGAGACAAGGTTTCATTATGTTGGCCAGGCTGGTCTCGGATTCCTGACCTTGTGATCCACCCACCTCGGCCTCCCAAAGTGCTGTGATTACAGGCGTGAGCCACCGTGCCCGGACAACATTATAGTCTTACATGTTAAGTGAAAAAAAATGTTTTTTAATAGTATGAGCTGTAAAAAAGAAAAACTAGCTTGATTACAGTTGAGGTAGTGGAAATATGCAGAATGTAAATCATTTGGTACCAGCTATGTAGTTAATAAGATTGATAGCCCATGTTTATTACTTACCATTTTCTTTGTGGGCATTTAAAGCATCATTTTTATAGCTAGCTCAATTGTGTGTCACAAGCATCTGTCAGAATATAATCCCAAATCCTCATAAGTGTTTACAATGCCCTACACACTCTGGTCTTGGGCTACTTCTACTACTACTCTTCCCATTTTTGACTCTGTTCTAGCTTGTTGCCTTTATATCTGCAGCCCCCCACCTAATATGTTCTTCTCCTGGAATCCCCATAGGTAGATGCTAAGAACTGCATTCAGATCTCGCCTCTGAAGTCACCACATCAGAGATGCCCATGTTGCCAGACTCTATCCCAACCCTTCCCACCCCTCTCTATTCCATTACCCTACATCATTTTTCTTTAAGCACTTATTACAGTAGGATATTATATATTTAGTAGTTTATTTGTTTTGTTTAAAATTTTCTGTGTCTTTCAACAAAAATAGTAAGAACAGGGTCATTGTTTTGTTGAATATATCACCAGAGCTTAGAATAGGTCCTGGTCCATGACAGACACTTGACAATTGATGAATGAATGAAATGAGTAAATGGGGAGACAGCTGGTATTAAGGGATGCTTTGAAATGGACACTGCAATTCTATCATTCAGCATTCAGATTGTCTCACTCTATCCCTTTTCTTTTTTCCTTTCACTTTATTTTTTAAAACTTTTCTTTGGATATCTGAATATAGCAGTTGAAACAAAACAAATCAAAAAACAAATCCTCTGAATATTTTATGAGGCTTATGATAAGTCCAGGCTTATACGTATTGCCAAGGATGACATTCAGTTTAACCGGTGTGATTCACGTCAAAACTGCTGAGCAACACCATAATGTATCCCTCATATCTGAATAGTATTTTAGTTAAAAAGAAGCATATATCTATCTATCTCTCTATCTATATAGATAGAGAGAGAGATAGATAGATAGATAGATAATTTTTTAAGGCTAGACTTTCTCCAAGGTTAATTATTTGTTTTACGTGTGTGTGTTTGGATATCTTGAAATGTTTAATCTGGAACCCTCAGCTTGTGAACCTCTTTTTTAAAAAAACCTGTTGCTTGTTTTGTTTTGGTGAAAATTACTCTAAGAGGAGTTTTCCTAATTTAATACAAATTTTGGTAACCAAAGTAATTTTTAGAAAATCAGTTTGGAAAAATTAAAGGTAAAACCTATCTCAGTTTATTCCCAAATATGTGAATATATTTATATTTTACCCAAATTCTTCCATTTTTATCAATATTCAGTTGTAAGGCTTGTCCCTCTGTGCTTTTGAGAGGTGGAGCCGGCTGGGCTTCTGGGTGGGGTGGGGACTTGGAGAAATTTTCTGTCTCCTAAAGGATTGTAAACACACCAATCAGCACTTTCTGTCTAGCTAAAGGTTTATAAATGCACCAATCAGCACTCTGTAAAAATGCACCGGTCAGTGCTCTGCATCTAGCTAAAGGTTTGTAAGTGCACCAATCAGCACTCTGTAAAAACAGACCAGTCAGCACTCTGTAAAAACAGACCAGTCAGCACTCTGTAAAATGGACCAATCAGCAGGATGTGGGCAGGGACAAATAAGGGAATAAAAGCTGGCCACAGGAGCCAGCAGCGGCAACCCGCTGGGGTCCTGTTCCGCGCTGTGGGAGCTTTCTTCTTTTGCGCTGCATAATAAATCTTGCTGCTGCTCACTCTTAGGGTCTGCCCTACCTTTATGAACTGTAACACTCACTGCGAAGGTCTCTGGCTTCACTCCTGAAGTCAGTGAGACCATGAACCCACCAGGAGGAACAAACAACTCTGGACATACGACTTTCAAGAGCTGTAACACTCACTACGAAGGTCTGCAGCTTCACTCCTGAAGTCAGTGGGACCACGAACCCACCGGAGGGAATAAACTCCAGATACATCTGAACATCCGAAGGAACAAACTCCCGACACACAATCTTTAAGAACTGTAACACTCAGCGCAAGCCCACCAGAAGGAACCAATTCTGGGCACACTTTGGGCTATGAAAATATAACAGTGTAATAAGTTTAATGGCAAAAGTGTGCTATGTCTTCAAATATACCTAGATTGATTATATTAATATTACAATAAGCAACTAACTCACATTTATTCCTCAATTGTTTCCTTTTTTTTTGAGACAGAGTCTTGCTCTGTCAATGAGGCTGGAGTGCAGTGGCGGGATCTTGGCTCACTGCAACCTCTGCCTCCCGGGTCCAAGTAATTCTCCTGCCTCAGCCTCCCAGGTAGCCAGGAATAAGGCCCGTGCCACCACGTCCAGCTAATTTTTGTATTTTTAGTAGAGACAAGGTTTCACCATGTTAGACAGGCTGGTCTCAAACTCCTGGCCTCAGGTGATCTGCCTGCTTCAGCCTCCCAAAGTGCTGTGATTATAGGCGTGAGCCACTGCACCCGTCCCCTCAACTGTTTCCTGATTGGAGTGAAAATGAAATATTTTTAAATATTAAAATAATGTTTTCTTTTATAATTATCGTTGCTCTGTGTTTAGATTTTTCTTAAATTTTAAATAACATTAAAGAAGAGCAAGAGTGTTTTTGTTATACTAAAATGTTTTGCCAACAATTTGAAAGAAAATAATTTATCCAGCTTGGGCAACATGGTGAGACCCCCATCTCTACAAAAATTAAAAAAATTAGCCAGATGTGGTGGTGCGTCCTTGTAGTCCTAGCTACTTGAGAGGCTGAGGTGGGAGGATCAATTGAGCCAGGGAGGTCAAGCCTGCAGTATGCCGTGATCATGCCACTGTACTTCAGCCTGTGTGACAGGGTGAGACCCTGCCTCAAAAAAGAGAAGGAAAGAAAGAAAAGGAGAAAGAAAGAGCAAGAAAAAGAAAAAAGAAAGGAGAAAGAAAAGAAAGGAGAAAGAAAAGAAAGAAGCAAGGAAAGAGAAAGAAAGCAAGAAAAAGAAAGGAAGAAGGAAGGAAAATAACTTTTACAAAAGCATTATTTGTAAACTTAAATTTCTCTTTTGTCACTTGCTATTGAGAGTAAACAGATTCTATTTACAGTAGAACCCCATATCTAGATAGTCTGAGCCAGTATGTGGTATGCAGAAAAATTAGTCCTCCTCTTTCTGGGATCCTCTCCTGAGCTCAGTGCTAATTCTTTCTGTTGTCCCTTGGAAAAGGGCTACCTAACACATAATCTGTACATGTGAGACACTGTCGGCAGCTTTGCCCTTCCTCTGCCCTGGCAGCCATGGCTTTTGCCATGGTTCTGGGCTGACACCTCTACAGGGCTGATCCTCACCACCTATTTGCTCCCCACCCATTTGCTGCCTTCTTTAGATTGAGTCCCTCCAGGAATTTTCTCTCTTACAGAATAACTTTTTCTGCTTTTCTCCCACCAGCTCTCAGATTCTTTTTCCACCTTGGAGCTGTTGGACACAGTTATTTCCTTTATCATTTATCTCCTTCCCGTACCATCCAGATCTGGGAAACCGGGGTAAAAGATGCTGAGGTGGGACACGTATCAATAAAAGTGAGGCAGCAGGCTGGATAGGGTGTTGGTTAGGATGGGTAGGTGTTGTCTAACTTTAAATCTGAAACAAATAACGCCCACAATATCCATACCTTGCATCTCAGACTGGCCCTTTGTACTGTGATTTTCTCTTCCTCCCTCCTTCCCTCTCTCCCTTCCTCCTTTTAATATATTCTAGGCATTTATGTGCCAGCATTATGAAAAACCTTTCAGACACCTTATTACAACAAGTGACCCCTAATCAAAACATATCTACGTTCCAGTTTTAACAGTGTTCCCGTTCTATTCCCTCTATGCTTACTCTGAGTTCTAGGGGAAAGCCTCTCATTCCCTCAATTAATATCAGGAATTCCTATGTTTTCTCCTTCTGTCACTCCAAAAAAAAAAAAAAAGTCTTGAGAACAAGAAAACAAATCTTCCAAATGACTCAGGAAAAGTTTCCGCGTATCCGAAACACATTGTGCCTTTTATTTCAGTGACACAGAGTCTGCACAATGCCCACAAACCACCTCCAGGGGGCAGTGTGGCCCAGTGCTGCTCCTAGGATGTTAAACATTCAAAACCTCAGGATGGTTTTTGTGGATTGGTTTCTCTGTTTGGTTAATGAACCATTTCTAGGGAAAAGGTCTCTAAAGGAAAACACAGTTTGTCATTTTATCATTCCCTCTTTGTGCTCTTTTTCTGGCATATGGTAAATAGAAAGACGGCCCTGAGGACATAGCGTTTAGGACTGAAAGCAGAGAGTACTGGATTCAGAGGAAATGCCTTAATTGGGAGATTTGTGTCCTTGTTGTCAGGTCTCACTGGGGAGGCAAGAAGAAGAAAGATATGGATTCCTGACATTTGTTGAGAGGATGGTTGGCTTTCTCCTCTTAGATTTTAGAGTGAGTGTAGAGCTTTTCAGAGCTCTTAAAGGTTCTTAAGTGTATGAGTATTTGCTGTTAGGGCATTTGCAGACCCTGACGAAAAGGAGCCCAGCCAGAGGAGACCAGGATCGTGAACTGCGGTAGACGAGGCTCGCCCAGCACAGAAAGATCTAACTCCTTGTGATATACCCCATGGATATTCAAACAATATGGGGTATTATTGGACTATTATCATAATATGGATATTTTAGATCACATAATTTGGGTTGATGCTGTGTTATTTTAGACTCCTAAAATTGCTTTTAAAAATGTATAGATATAGCACATGAAAAATTGAAGAGGAAAATGACTCCTTATAATACAAAGATTTTTATACCATCAGTTAATCTCACTAAAGGTTAGGTTGGCATTTACTAATATTTTTTAAAAATATGTAAGACTAGGAAATGTGAAAGGGCTTGCAGGCTATGGACATTTTTACCCTATATGCATATTTTTAAGTGCCTTCTATGTTGTTGTAGGAGCCGAAGGAAAGCTTTACCTTCAACTTCTGAAGATGTGTTAAAAGTCACTGACAAGAGTCAAATTAATAACAGAAAAGGCATACAAATTTAATTGATCATAGTTTTACATAACACAGGAGCCTTCAGAATGAAGATCCAAAGATACAGAGGAATTGTACATTTTAATGCTTAGGGTCGACAAAATATGGACAGCCATGTACAAATACGATTGGGCAAAAAGAGAATGATCTACTGCCAATAGAGTTGGGAAACCCAGCAAGGCCTGTCTGTCTAGACTCCTCTTGGCCTCACTGCGCAGCATTCGTTCCTCCTTGGTGTGTGGCAGGACCCTCTATGGAAAGAGGGTGTTATGACCTACAATTAAAAAAGGTAGGTCAGTTAATTTCTTTATGGCCCATTTTTATACAGAATGGTGGGTGATGGTTAGAATAATATTTTCAGGTTTTAATGGCTGGCTCCAGGGGAAAAGGAGCTCTGGTTTCTATGACCCACCTTGGAAAGAAGGAATCTAGGTTTTATGGTGGGCCTGGGGGAGAATGGAGAGGCCAGAGCCATGAGGGTAGCAGAAGGTCAGAGAGAGCTGCTTCTAAGGCCATCATTTTGGAGTATCATTTTCAGAGACCCTACAATGTGTTCTAGTATAAGCTTGAAAACAGATCAACTTAATTTCCTCCATTTCGAGGAAAAGGTTTAAAATTTGACTGCCTTGAAGTTAAAAGTATTGAAAGGGCAAGTCCTATAGATTATGGAGTAGAGGCATTGCCCTCTGAGTAAGCCACATATATGAGCAACACCAATTACTAAAAACTTGAGAAAGATTTGCAAAATTGCTTTGTCAATGGAAGGTAAAGCTTAAATAAATACAACTATTTTCTCCCTTTACCTTAAGAGGGTATTGCTAGTTGTGCAACCATTAAGTTTTGTGCTCTCTCCTCATTGCTCGTACCATTCTCATTCTGCCTACCTATGAGACCTGACTTGTATTTTCATATTAGGATAAACTAATTGATGCAACCAAAAACAGATTCACTGTGAAGCTATTGATGGTTAAGCTCCAGGGTCCTTTCCTTGCCAAGGCCTCTTTGAGAGCTGGGAGATGCTGGAAGTTTTAAGGAGTTTTAGGTGGGAAGAGTAAGTCAAGCAACCAACAAGCATTTTTGCCTAAGAAATCATGCTAATTGCCAATAGAGATATCAGAAGAAAAGAACTTAAATTCCTAAGGTTTCTATAATTTATTGAGATTTTAAAAATCTTATTCTAAAGTAAATTCACTTTTGTGAATTTTGTGTTTGTAATTTATATTATTTTTCGTAAAGAGGATCTCCCAAACTCTATAAGCTTAAGATTGACAAAATCTGGGTTCTTCTCTGACTGCAACAAGTAAATGCAAAAATATGGGAGAGTGTAAACATAATGAAAATGTTTTCTTGCTCACGTAATGCAGTAGTATCAGTGAACGGGCTGGTGGGGCAGCCCTTCACACAGTCATTCAAGACTCAGGATAATGAACATTCTGTCATTCTTAATAAGGCTTCCAAGGTAAGTGTGGGTCATCAGCATTCTGGGCAATCAGAAGAAGAAACGCATGCAGGGGAGGATTTTATGGGCCAGCTGAGGACAGATGCACTTGACTTCGTTCACATTCCACCGAGTCAGTCATATGGCTGTAACCAAATGCAAGTGAAGAAGGGAAATGTTACCTAGCAGGGTGCTCAGGAAGGAGAGGTGAAGATGGATTTGGGGTGAGACTCTGCATAGGCTCTGCAACAACTAAATTCAGTTAAAGATTTTTGTGGTCAAGGCATATAGTTTGTACAGATGTGCCTGTTTTGGGAATATAAATAATTTGCTAAAGCATGAAAAAAACTTCTGAAAAATATATATAGAATAAGATTTAAAATCTTAATCTACCACTGTGTTTATCTAGCATAAATGAATTCAATGAACTCGCATAAACAATGTGGACTAATAATTGACTAAACAGAAATTATGCATTCTAGACTTTAGAATCTAAAGAGATTATTCACAGTGTAGCACCACAAAACAGGAAGATTCAGGGCATTTTACCCTCTTTCAGTAATTGAGGTCAGGTGAATACCTGGAACAATAGCAGCACTGTGGATACTTAATCATCTACGTACTATTGAACCAAGGAAGAACACTCTGTGAAATGGAAATTAATTGTGTAATATCTTTTAATATGTTTGCTTAAAATGAATGTGCAAATATCATAAGGCTTGATGGAACATATGATGATGAAGTCATCTCAAATTACATGGGGAATTAGAATGCACAGAAAATTTACTGAGTAGCAAAGAAAGTGATTTTCAAAGTGAATGCTAAAATTCTTAAAATGAAAACTGTAAAGCTTAATTTGCAGACTCTTTGAGAATCAAATTAATTCAAATGTACATAGATGAACTTTGTTAATTGTAAAGTACTATAGAAATATAAATAATCCTTATTGCCATTTTAAGTATATTCTAAATTTTTCTTTTTGATCTCCTGCAAACCTAAACAGTATATTATAGATGTCCAAAAATGTATTTATTTGCAAACACTTTTTATAACTTGGGAACTTTTTTCTGAGATAAACCTCTGAAATTTTTAATTTTTAATAGTAAATATGATTTGATGTGTGTTTGCTTTATACCTCACTTTCCAGGAAAGTAGCTGATGTTTAAGAATAGCATAAATTAAGCTTGAGAGCCATATTCACAGTTGAAGTAAAAAAAAACACACACACATTTTTTACCTCAAGATGATTATTCTTTCCTTTTTAAAAACTCTCATTAACAGATTCTGCTTTGTACATTGACCTGGTTTCCATTTTAACTTGTATGCATTTTCTACTAGATAAAAGTAAGTAATCTTGAAGTGTTTTTATTACCACAACCTGGAAGAATGCTCAAAATTATAAAAGATGGGCAAGAATATGATATTTTAAATAATAAATAATCAGATACCCAAAGCAGTAAATGTGTTCTAAGAAGCATCTTATTAATTTCAAAACTGTTACTAATAATTATATTTATACAGAAGCTAACACAATGCTATAAAAAGAAATTTTGATCATATGTTTCAAACACTAGCTATTGATCTGGTTAAGGTAATATTACATGGTTAGTGTAGCTTACAGCTGAGTGTCAATACCTGACCCTTTTGCTTTCAAACTGACTTTATCTAAAGCTTCAAATTCTCATCTATAAAATGCAAATATTAACTAGCAATTTTTTAAGGCTTCAGATGCTAGGACATTTTGTGAACTAGACTAACACTATCCTGATAATTCCAGATTATTTTTTAGGAAGCTTCTATATATTTAAAAGTCTATTTGGAATGTAGTTCAGAAACTACTGCAACTTTTTATATGAATATGAACAGGGATTGAAGCAAATATTTTTGGTACAAAAATGAGTGACACAAAATATTATGAAATAAAATTCTTTATGTTTTGTATAAAGACCATCTTAGAGGTCAAGGAAGTAATGGGAAATTCATTAAATAACAAATGTCACCAAATAACACAAAGTCTCTAGATAGCAGTGTATGTAATAAAGGACAAAATGAGTAGTTCAGAGAGCAAGTGCTATAAGAATAGTCAGAAATCAATGTGGGCTTCTTTAGCTGGGGGAGGCTGCTTGGAGCAAGTGTTTGTATTGGCTTTGACACACCAATATAGCTTGTTTCAGTACAGAGAAGAGGAGCAGCAAAACCATTTCATGTGCAATGCTCAAAAAAAGAAAAAAAGATCTAAATGTCAGAATTATTAATTATTTTTAAGATAAGTAAAAGACTCCTCTTCTGTATACCAATGAGAAGATATAATATGTAAATTGGGACACACTTGAATGCCAGACAGAGCAGGGTAAGCTTTACTCCTTAAAGAAATGTGGAGTTGGACTTCTGCTTCCAGAAAAATGGAGTAGACATATTTTTCCTGATTCCGCCCATTAAGTAAAACTGAAAACCTGAAACATTTATATATAGGTCAAACATAAGACCTTAAAAGGTGGAGAGAAGGAGGCAGACAAGCTAGGGAACTGAAGACCCAAGGAACAGCATGGTAATGAGTTCCATTGTTTTTTTGTTTTTGTCTCCTCATATATCCCCCAGACTTGGAGCTAAAGCAGCTGTCAACCTGGAAGTACCAATGGACACTGACAAAACAATAAACAAATCTCCAACAAAAGCCTGTTCTCTCTAGCCAAAAATCCAAGACAGTCTTGAGAAGACTAGTAAGACAGAAAACTTTTAGACAATAACAGCTCTACTCCAGCCAGCCACAACAACAATAACAAAAAAACTGTGGCTCTACCCCACCCATGGCAAAAGCCAAGTGGGGAAGCCAAGCTTTCCACTCATGCCTGACTGTGACAAGGCACTCACCCTTCCTTCCAGGGTAACGTCTGGGAAAGCTGAGTAAGGAATTGGTAGTTTCATTCTCACTGGGTGGTAAGGAGTCCACCTTACTGTTAGCAGAGTCCACATGACTTTAGTAGTGTTGGTAGTTGTGGTGGTATTATTAGTAGAGGCCATTTAGGGAGCCATGACAAGGCACTCATATCCATCGCAGTCAGTGAGTTACCAGCAGACACCTCGTGTGGAGTTGGAAGTCCCAACCCTAGCAGTTGGAGACAGACTCCCTGCTACAACTTGAGAGTCAACAGAGGCCAAATAAGGAACCTGGAGACCTGGGCATTTATCCCACAGAAACGGAACTTATACCCACCCAAAAGGTTACCCAAAAATATGTGTAGTAGTTTTAATTATAGTAGTCAGTAACTGGAAACAATCCAGATGTCCTTCAAAAAGTGAATGGTTAAGCAAACTGTGGTACTTCCATTTCTTGGGAAATTACTCAGTAATTTAAAAAAAATTGTTAATGCAACAACCTAGATGACTATTCAGAGATTTGTGCTGAGTGAAAAAAGCAATCCCAAAAGGTTGTATCTTGTAATTCCATTTATGTATTTTTCCTGAAATGACAAAACTGCAGAAATGTAGAACAAATTAGTGGCTGCCAGGTGTTAAGGAGAAGGTGAAGATAAGAGAAAAATGTGTGCAGCTATAAAAGTGCAACATGAGGGATCCTTGTGGTAGTGAAACTATTCGGTATCTTGCTTATATCAATGTCAGCATGTTACTTGTGATTTTGTGGTGTTTGATTTTTTTGGCGTTGTTATAGTTTTTCCATTGGTGGATATTGGGTGAATAGCCCATGAGATATATCTGTATTATTTCTTCCAACTGCATGTGAATCTACAATTATCTAAAAATTAAAATTTTAATTAAAAATGGAGCTAATTGGGTGTTTTTTCTATTTTTCAAAAAGTATCATTATAGGTATTGATTAGAAGTTAGAACCTGGAGGAGGACCAAATAGGAGACCAAAATTAAATTATCAGCCATTAGTCCCTTCCATCTTAGGAAAATAAGCTCATTATAAGTATTTAAATACTTATTTCATTAATCATAGTATTTCATAAGAACAGTTGACTGGTGTTAGCAATGTAGATTTGTAGAGCTGCCACATCCCAAGGTATCACTGTCTTTTACCAAAAAGAGCTCAATCCTCCCCCACGATGAGATTTCCTGCTATGTAGTGCTCAAAGACCAGTGAAATGGGAACAGTGATTACAACACAAACATCATATTTAGATCTAGTCCCTAGCATTTCTAGTGGCAGGAACAGAAATAGAAAATGGATTATTAGGATGATTTTACCATAAACATATTTTTAACCAACAGGATATACTTATATTCATGCCACAAACTGAAAAACAGATTTTCTTTTAACATGATAGTCTTGATCTAATGTTAGAATATGTATTCCAAGATTGTTAATGTTGGCCTAATAATGTATGAATTAAAGGAAGAGATGAGGAAATATGTCAGGGAGACTTCTGATATTTCAGATGCACAATGTATTTCAAATATAATTTATATTATATTTAAATAATTTACACATATAATTTATACTTGAAAAACAGAGCCAGTTGGTTTTCTCCTTGCCTTTATTAGCAACATCTATTAGATCATTACATAATACATGTAGTGGACACAAAAGTGTGCAAAATGTCATATGATACTTTGATAAAAACAGGCTAAACATATGTTTAATTTACCAAAACTACACATAAGAACAATGACTCGTGTGTACATAGAGTTCATACAGCTTTCAATTTTACTTGATAGCATCAAGTGGAACGTTTATCATCAGATGTAGGACATGCACCTTTTCAGCTTTGCTATTCAAAGGGGTCCTCAAGAAGATCAAATCGAGA
The DNA here is from genome assembly GCF_000001405.40 of Homo sapiens. Lineage (NCBI taxonomy): Eukaryota > Metazoa > Chordata > Mammalia > Primates > Hominidae > Homo > Homo sapiens. The sequence goes on from NC_000004.12 coordinate 155,449,639, forward strand.
ATATAGAAAAAAACAAAAATGAAATGAAAGAAATTATCCATAGCGCTAATAACTTAAGAAAAACAGCACTGAACTTTGGCATGCTTCCTTCTCCAGTCACTTTCCAAATGCAAATATCTTTGCTTTGTTTCTTAAATATACTATGGCCATTCATATGTATATGAATGACACAACAACAGCATTGTATGAATATATATAACATATTGTGGTAGATCCAGTTCCATCATCCCTTGCCCATCTTCACCTTACTTTTGTGCAGTAAGGAGTGACCTTGTTCCTCAATTCTGATTACTCAGATGTGAGGAGAAGGCTGCTGAAGGTTATGGGAAATCCATAGCTAATTTTTCTGATTAATGATGTTATTAGTGACTGTGATTTTCTGATATTGTGTATTGAATTTGGAAGATCTTTATAATTTAGCAAGCCAATATTTTTCAAATAATCAGTGTGTGGTATTACAAAACAAAGCATGGGAAAAGATTTTTTGAAAGTTCAAGATATGACAATGAATTTTCATGTATCAGAATACAAAAAGTTATAGATAAGGTTTCACATTCCATATAGTAGTTAACTTTTAATGAAATATAATTTATTGATTTTTGGTGTAGTATCAAAAATAATATCCGCAGTTGTCTGAAAGAACCATTAAAATACTCCTCCCCTTTTCAACTATATTCATGAGAGGCCAAATTTTCATTATGTACTTCAACAAAAATAATACATCAAAACAGATTGAATGCAGAAGTAGATATGAGAATCCAGCCATTATCTATTAAGCAGGACAGTTATGAAATACAAAACAGTGCTACTCTTCTCAGATATTATTTGCTTGGAAACATGTAGTTACTTTTCCTAAAATATAGTATTTATATTAATCAAATAGGTTTGTTATTATTGTTTTAAAACAAACTAATAAATATTCAAAAATTCTCAGTTTTAATTTCTAACACTCTATATGTCATTAATAAAAAATAAAAATGGAGGTCACAGTGTAGATATAGCCCAAAGCCAACCACCTGTTACCACATGGCCAAAACATCGGTCATTTTGATTCCCCACCAACACTAGCTGTAAGCGTCAACAAAACACAAAATCATAAACATAAGCTTTATATCCTTGTCAACATGCATCAGTGAAATTAGACAATCAGCTATAGAAATTAGCTTAAACAGCTCCAGCTGCCTTAACAAAATGATGATGTGTAACAGGCAGTCACAGAAAAGGTCACATACTTCCTCCTTTATGTGTAAAAACTATGTTGTAACTGCTCTGAGTGGGGATTCTTACCACCTTGGGCTGAGTTCTCCTGGTTTGTGAATTGTTCCTTTGTATGCACAATAAACTTTTACCATTTTTCTAACTTCATGTAGTTTTATATTTGACATTATGGATATATCCTACATAAACAGAAGTCTTTGAGGTCCACAATAATATTTTTAAATATACTTTTTTAGTGCAATTTTAGGTTCACAGCAAAATTGAGTGGAAGATACAGAAATATTCCATATATTCCCTGTCCTCAGACATGCATAGCCTCCCCATTACCAACATCTGCCATCAGAGTGATACATTTGTTCAACTGATGAACCTACATGGACACATCATTATCACCCAAAGTCAGTTTACATTGGGGTTCACCGTTGGTGTTGTACATTCTATGGGTTTATAATTACATCTATTCACCATTACAGTATCATCCAGAACAGTTTCATTGTCCTAAAAATCCTTTGTGCTCTGTCTCGTCATCCCTCTCTCCTCCCTAATCCCTGGCAACCTCTGATCTTTTTACTGTCACCATAATTTTGTCTTTTCCAGAATGTCATATAGTTGAAATCATACAGTAGGTAGCCTTTTCAGATTGGTTTCTTTCGCTTAGTAGTATGCATTTTAGATTCCTCCATGTCTTTTAATAGCCTTTTGTAGCTTATTTCTTTTAGCTCTGAGTAATATTCTGTTGTCTGGATAAACACTTTTGCTTGCATAGGCAAACAAAATGTACCACTCTGGCTTAATGTGGGATGGGGTGTTGAGGGGGTTGGCTAATGCATAGTTATCTGGGTCGCCCAGGAGGTCAGGCGAAAATAGTACTAGAATTATTAGGAGGAGGAGGAGAAAAATTAAACCTAAAATGTCTTTGGTAGTATGGTAGGGGTGGAAGGTAATGTTGTCAGGGTCTGATGAAAACCCTGAAGGGTTATTAGATCCTGTTTCATGTAGGAATTAAAGGTGAACAGCTGCTAGGGCTGTAATGATGAAGGTAAGATGAAATGGAAAGTGAAGAATCATGTAAGGGTGGCTTTGTCGACTGAGAACCCACCTCAGATTTATTGCACAAGGTCAGTTCCAATATATCGGATGGCTGATAGTAGATTTGTAATTACTGTAGCGCCTCAGAATGATATCTGGCCTCATGGGAGCATGTAGCCTATGAATGCTGTTGCCATTGTTTTGAGTAGGAGGATGATGCCAATATTTCAGGTTTCTAGGAATGTAAATGATCTATAGTATAAACCTCAGCCAATGTGTAAGAAGACGCAGATAAAAAATATTGAACTGCCATTAGCATGAAAATAGCGAACAATTCAGCCGAAGTTTACATGTCGGCTGATATGAGTGACTGAAGAGAAGGCAGTTGAGGTGTCTGATGTGTAGTGCATGGCCAAAAGCAGTCCTGTCCTGTAATGATTTGGAGGGTTAGGCAGGCACCAAAAAGTGAGCCAAAGTTTCATGATATAGAAAGGTTAGATGATGTGGGAAGATCAATGAATAATTAATAGTTTTTATTAGCAGGTGTGTTTTGCATATATTGGCCATTAGCCTTCTTATAGTTGAAATACTACAATGATTTTTCATGTCGTTAGTCATGATTATAGTCCATGTGGGAATAATGGCATATACTATATTTTTATTAAGTGTCACTTTGGTTATAGGATTTGTAGGTTTCTCTTCGAAACCTTATCCTATTTACGGAGGTCTAGGGCTAATTATTAGTGGTGCTGTGGGTTGAATTTGTTGAATTTTGGTGGTGCTTTCGTGGGGTTGATGTTTTTTTAATTCCCCATTTGTGTGGTATGATGATTGTTTATGGCTATACCACAGCGATGGCTACTGAGGAGTATCCTGAAACATGAGGGTCAAGTATTGATATCTGAGGAGCCTTATTATTAGGACTAATAATGGAGTTGATGCTGGTTCTGTGAATAGTTGAGCATGATGCAGTGAGGATCATGGTTAATTTTAATAGCATAAAGAGCTGGACGATTTTTGAGGGTGAGGGGGCAGGGTTGTTGCGTGAAGATTCTGTGTATGTGGCTGCCTTGTACAGTTATGAATGCTGATTAGTGGTAGTTGCTGGTTGATGATTATTTGTTGGTATTTATGTTCTGATTGAAATTATCAGGATAATAGATTAGATAATTAGGAGCAGAGTTAGAAGGGATGGGATAAAAAAAGAAAGTAGAGTTTAATTAGGCCGTTCTGAGTAGATATGGTAATGGAGGCTGAAATTTGGGTTGTGTAATGGTCTTTGGTATAGACTTTTCTAGTCATATTAGGTCTAGTAGAAGTGAAGCCAGATTTTGGCTTGTGTATAGGCCTGAGTGGGGGTTTGTATGGTGAATTGTGGATGAATAAAATCCTAGTATGTTGGAGAAGTTGAATGTCTGTAATGGGTATTTTGGTTTAAGGTTATTAGTTTCAAGATTAAGCTCCATTGCTAGTGAGAAGCCTAAGATGGTCACACCTAGGGCTGTGAGCTTCAGGTGGAGTGGTATGGTTGTTTTTGGGGATGAAGCAGGAATAATACGGTTGGTGATGAGGAATCCGGCGAATATGCTGCCAACTGTTAGGCGCTTAATTGAGTTAATTAGGAAGGGGTTATTTTCATTAATAGCAGCCAGAGTCATGAAGCAAGGTTGTCCTATAAGAGCGAAGAAAATAATATGGGTATCACGGACAGCTGTCAAGGAAGTGGCAATAAGAGTAATAGAAAGGGCTCAGGCGTTGGTGTATGAACGTGTTTGCAGTTTCAATGATGAGGCCTTAGAGTAAAAGCTTGTAAGGAAAGGCATGCCTGTAAGTGCAAGACTGCCAATAATAAAGGATGAGGAAGTGAGGGGCAAAGTCTTGAATAGCCCTCCTATTTTTCAGATGTCTTGTTCATCATTGAGGCTATGGATGATGAACCCTGAACATATAAATAATATAGCTTTAACAAAGGCATGGGTGCAGATGTGAAGGAATGCTAGGTGTGACTGATTAATGCCAATTGTGACTATTATAAGGCCTAGCTGGCTTGAGGTGAAGAATGCTATGATTTTTTGGATATCATTTTGTGTTAGAGCACAGATAACTGTGAATAAGGTAGTAATAGCCCCCAGACATAATATAAAGGTTTGGATTGATAGGTTATTTTCTATTAAAGGGTAGAAGCGGATAAGCAAGAAAACTCCTGCTGCAACTGTAGTGCTGGAGTGGAGTAGGGCTGAGACTGGGGCTGGGCCTCCTATTGCAGATGGAAGTCAGAGATGGAGGCCAAATTGAGCTGACTTTTCTGCTGCTGCTAAGAGAAGGCTAATTAATGGAAGGAGATGGGGATCTGGTCTAGAATAAATGTTTGTTAAAATTCTCATGTGTTGGAGGACAGGAACAATGCTATAGCTAAAATAAAGCCAATATCACTGATGCAGTTGTACAGGACTGTTTAGAGGCCTGCTGTATTAGCATCTGCTCTGCCATACCATCAGCTGATTAGTAAGAAAGACATGATTCCTACACCTTCCCATCCGATAAAGAGCTGAAAGAGGTTGTTGGCAGTAACCAGAATTAATATCGTGATGAAGAAAATAAGCACTTGAAAAACTGATTAATGTTAGGGTCTGAATTTATATATCATATTGAGAATTCTACAATAGATCAGGTAATGAATAGCACTACTGGGATAAATTTTGTGGAGAAGTAGTCTAGTTTGAAGCTTAGTAAGAGTTTGAGAGTCTGGATCATCATTCAATGTCAGTTTGAGATAATGGCTTCTTGGTCTGTGCATATAAACGTTGTTGGGATGAGGCTAACGATGAAGGCATATGCGATAGATGTTTTTACATAATTTGGGTATGAGCCTATTTTGCAGGAGTTGACTAAGGTAATAGTAATCGGTAGGAATTAAGGGGATTAGGGCTGTTATAGCCATGGAAGATACATGTTTGTTACTTTTATTTGGAGTTACATCAATGTTTTTGGTTCCTAAGACCAATGGATAACTCCAATCCTTTAAAAGTTGAGAAAGCCATGTTGTTAAACATGGGGGCATGAGTTAGCAGTTCTTGCATACTTTCTTGGTAGGTAAGAAGTTGCAGGCTTTTATTGTTAGATCCACGATCTAATGTTTTGGTTAAACTATAGCTACAGCATGCAAACCACATAATAATTTTAGGGTTTAAGGATAATAGGAAGATAGGTGCAAGATGTATAAGTATTAATGTGTTTTCTCATGTAAAGGAAGGTTTAATACTGTTAATATAATATGCAAGTGTCCCTCGTGTTGTGATTAGCATATACAGGGAGTAAAGGGCTGTAATTAGTATATTAAGTCGTATAAGCATAATAGTGATATTTGATCAGGAGAATAAGGCCATAGTCACAAAGAGTTCTTCTACTAGATTAATGGTAGGGGGTAAGGCAAGGCTAGTAAGATTTGCTAGAAGTCATCAAGAGGCTATTAGCGGGAGCAGTGTTTGAAGGCCTCAGGTAAGAAATATGGTTTGGCTATGGACTTGCTCGTAGTTTGAATTTGCTAGGCAGAAGAGTAAGGATGAAGTGAGTCCATGAGCAATTATAAGGATGATCGCATCTATAAAGCTTCAAGGGGTCTGAATGAGGATAGCCATAATAACAAGTGTTATGTGGCTTATGGAGAAGTAGGCAATAAGTGATTTTAGATCTGTTTGTCGTAGACAAATAGAGTTTGTCATAACTATTCCTCATAGGGACAACATGAGGAAAGGGTAGGCTATATGTTCTGTTGGGGGTTGAGGTTAAGAGTAAGCCATATTATACGGTAACCGCCTAGCTTTAGGAGTACTGCTGCAAGTACTATTGAGTTGGCAATAGGGGATTCTACATGGGCTCTGGGGAGTCATAGGTGAAGTCCATATAGAGGTATTTTTACTATGAAGGCCATGATACATGCTAGTGATACAAGATTATTGGATCAGGAGGTTAATAGCTCTTGGATAGTAAATATTATTACTAGCATATTTAGTGAACCTGAGGTATTTGGAGTATAAACAAATGTTACAAATAAAGGAAGGGATCCTACTAGTGTGTAAAATAAGAAGTGTGATCTTGCATTGAGGCGTTCTGGTTGGTTGCCTCAGTGGGTGGTGATAATTAGGGTGGGAACTAGTGTGGCTTCAAAGAGGATATAAAATATGATTAGTCTGTGGCAGTGAATGCTATGATTAAAAAAGTCTGTAGAGAAATCAATATCGAAATATAGAATTTTTTCATGGGGGTGATTCATTGGACAGGTGGTATTGGCTTGCTAGAATTATAAGAGGCAGTAGTCAGACTGTTAAGATTAGAAGGGGTGATGTCAGCAGGTCAGAAAAGATTAATGAGAAGTTGGATGAGTTATCGTTCAATTGGTTAAAAAATAGTAGGCTGATAAGGCTGATGAGCAGGCTGTGGATAACCATGTTGATTCAGATTATATAATTTTTAGAGAATCATATCATTGGTAACAGTATAATTGTTGGAGTAATAATTTTTAGCATTGAAGTAAACTTAGATTTTGTATGTAATCTAGGCCATATGTACTGGAGATTGAAACTAGTAAGGCAAGGCCCACTGCGGCTTCTCAGGCAGCAAATACTAAGAGGATAATGGGTATTATGGATGCTAGGGTGAAATGTATATTTAAAGTTATAAGAGTATTTATGATATATATTGATTGATGCCTTCTAGGCATAATAGGGATGATATTAGGTGGGATTGATAGAGTAATACTCCTAGCAGTGATATGGTGTATGCTAATATAATAATAATATTAATAGAGGTCATTTGGTAAATGTGGTCTATCATAATCTAATGAGTCAAAATCATTTATTTTGACTTAAACTATTTACCAATTCAACTCAGTCTAACACTTTTGGGGCTCGTTCATAAGTCAAGCCTAGGATTGAAATGGTAACTAATACAAGGGCTGTGCTGATTATTAGTGTCAGGTTGGTTGTTTGAAGGGCTCATGGCAGGGGTAGTAGTACAGCAATCTCTAAGTCGAAGAGGAGGAATGTGATGGCTCCTAAGAAGAATATTATGGAAAAGGGGAGGTGGGCAGAGGTTATTGGGTGAAATCCACATTCATAGGAGTTGGATTTTTCTGTATAAATATTAAGTTGTGGGAGCCAAACTGCTTTTATTAGTAGTAATAGGGCCAGTAAGGTGTTGGTTACTAGGGCTAATGTCAAGTTGATTACTCTCTTTCGGATAATATCAAAACTAATTGATTAGAAGTCAATGGTACTGCTTATACTAAAAGAGTAGGATCCTCATCAGTAGATAGAGACGTATAAGAATAGTCATACTACATCTATGAAGTGTCCATATCAGGCGGCAGCTTCAAAGCCAAAGTGGTGGTTGGATGTAAAGTGGAATTTTAATTAGCGGAGGAGGCAGATAGTGAGAAATGTTGATCCAATAATAACATGAAGTCCGTGAAAGCCTGTGGCTATGAAGGATGTTGAGCTGTAGATTCCATCAAAGATAGTAAACGGGGCCTCGAAATATTCTAAGACTAGTAGAAGGGTCAAACAAATTCCTAAGGTAATTGTGATGGATAGTGCTTGAAGTATCTGCTTTCTACTACTTTCTATCAGGCTGTGGTGAGCCCAGGTAGTTGAAACTCCTGATGCAAGTAATACAGGTGTATTCAGGAGAGGGACTTCTAAGGGGTTGAGGGGAAAAATGCCTGTTGGGTGTCAATGTCCCCCTAGCTCTGGAGTTGGGGCTAGGCTAGAGTGGTAGAATGCCCAGAAGAAACCAGCAAAAAAGAATACTTCTGAGATAACGAATAGAATTACGCTATATCGGAGGCCTTTTTGGATGATTGATGTGTGGGGGCCTTGAAATGTACTTTCTTGGATAATGTCACGTCATCACTGGTATATATAGTGTGTTGGTTAGTAGGCCTAGGGTTAAAAGGGTGATAGAGTTAAAGTGAAATCACATGGCCAGGCCAGATGTTATTAGGAGAGCTGAGAGAGCTCCTGTTAGTGGTCAGGGGCTGGGTTTGACTATATGGTAGGCACGTGTTTGGTGGGACATTACGTGTTGTCGTATAGGTAAAGGCTTACAAGTAGTGCAAAGACATAGGCCTGAATAAGGGCTACGGCGAATTCAAGGATGCTCAGTAGGATTAGAATAAAGAAGGCCATTGAAGCTGTGGGAAGACTGATAGTCGATAGTACTAGTGTGGCTCCTCTGATATAAATGCATTAGTAGGTGTCTGGCTGTAAGGCTGGCTGTTAATCGCACAGCTAATGCCATTGGTTGAATGAATAGGCTAATAGTTTCAATGATCACTAGCATAGAGATAAATGGTATAGGTGTGCCTTGTGGTAAAAAGTGAGCTAAAGAGGTTTTAGTCTTAAAGCAGAAGCCTATAATTACTGCACCTGCTCATAAGGGGATTGCTATACCTAGATTTATTGATAATTGGGTAGTTGGTGTAAATTAATGGGGTAGAGGCCCAAGGAGATTGGTTGAGGCAATGAAGAGAATTAGGAAGATCAGTATAAGGGATCAGGTTTGTCCTTTAATGTTATGGGTAATATTATTTGTTTTAGTACAAGTTGAATTAGTCACCGTTGAATGGAAATCAGTTGGTTACTAATTAGATGACTGGAGGTTGGAAGTAGTTTGGTGGGAAATAAAATGATTAATACTACTGCGGGTAGGCCTAGAATTGTCGGGGTAGTAAAAGGGGTAAATAGATTTTCTTTCATTTTAATTCTCAGGGAGCTTTATGTTTTTGCATTTTGATTATTTTTGGTATAGGGGATGTATAATGAAATTTAATAATTTTAACTGAATAATGGAGAATAAAGTTATGGTTATTGACAGAATGACAACGGATTATGTGGAAGTATCTAGTTGAGGCATTCACTGCAGAGAGGTGTAGATCCGCTCAGTCTTTAACTTAAAAGTTTAATGCTAGATAGTTTTACAGTGATATTATAGTGTGGACATGGATCAGGTTTCGAAGCATTTTAAGGGGGTTAATCCTAGGACAATAGGTATAACACTGTGGTTGGACCCACAGATTTCTGAGCACTGTCCATAGTAAAGGCCTGGTCATGTAGCAGTTAGGGTGGTTTGATTTAGGCATCCAGGGATTGCATCTGTTTTCAGCCCCAATGAGGGGATAGTTCATGAGTGCAGGATGTCTTCAGATGAGATTAATATATGGATGGGGATATCTATTGGGAGAATAGTTTGGTTATCAACTCTGAGGAGTTGAAGTTCTCCTGGCTTTAAGTCTGCTGTTGGAATTATATAAGAATCGAAGCCTAATTCTTCATAGTCTGTACATTCATAGTTTCAATATTATTGGTGGCCAATGGTGGCCAATTGCTTTGACTGTAAGAGCAGGGTTGTTAATTTCATCTGTTATTTACAGAATACGTAGGGATGGGAGGGCAATTAAAATTAAGATAATGGCAAGTAAAATAGTTCACACAGTCTGGATTTCTTGGGCATCTATGGTGCTAGTATGAGTTAATTTTGTTGTGAATATTAGGGAAATAATGTATAGGACTAGGGGACTAATTAGGAAAATAATTATAAGAGTGTGGTCATGGAAAGTGAGTAGTTCTTCCATAATAAGGAATGTAGTGTCTTGAAGTCCTAATTGAACTGCATGAGCCATTAAGACATATAGGATTTAACCTATAAACTAACTTTGACAAAGTTATGGAATAATTTTACTAATATCTTATCGAGAGAGTCGTGGGGTTATCTGACTGGCTTGAAACCAGTTTCTGGAGTTTTGATTCCTTCCTTTCTCATTTAGGTTTTCACACAGGTTGGCTCTTCAAATGTGTGGTAAGGTGGTGGACAGCTGTAAAGTCACTCTAAATTAGTAGGTGATTGCACAATTGTACTTTTCATTTTGAAGCAAAGGCCTCTCAGATCATAATGATTATTAGTATAACAGCTGTTAGTGAGATAAATGAGCCTACGGATGAGATAATATTTCATGTGGCGTACACATCAGAGTAATTGGAGTAACGTCGAGGCATACCCGATAGGCTGAGGAAGTGCTGTGGAAAAAAGGTTAAGTTAACACCTATGAATATAATGGTGAAGTGGATTTTAGCATAGGTCTGATTAAATGTATAACCTGAAAATAGGGGGAATCAGTGGCAAAGCCTCCTGTAATGGCAAATATTGCTCCTATTGATAGAAGGTAGTGGAAATGGGCTACAACATAGTATGTGTTGTGTAAGACAATATCTAGTGATGAATTAGCTAGTACAATATCGGTTAAACCTCCCACTCTGAAAAGGAAAATGAATCCTAGGGCTCAGAATATTGCGGGAGATCATCTGATGTTACCACAGTGCAGGGTAGCTAATCAGCTAAAGACCTTGATGCCAGTAGGGATGGCAATTATTATGGCAGCGGAGGTGAAGTATGCTAGTGTGTCTATGTCTGTTCCTACTGTAAATATATGGTGAGCCCATACGATAAATCCAAAGATGCCAATTGATATCATGGCTCATACTATGCCCATGTACACAAATGGTTCCTTTTTTCCAGAATAATATGTTGCGATGTGGGAGATTATCCTGAAGCCTGGTAGGATAAGGATGCAGACTTCAGGGCGACCAAAGAATCAGAATAAATGTTGGAACAAGATGGGGTCACCCCACAAGCAGGGTCAAAAGAAGTAGTGTTGAGGTTATGGTCAGTTAATAGCATAGCAATGCCGGCGGCTAGGACTGGGAGGGAAAGGAGTAGAAGGACTGCCATAATGAGGACTGATCAGACGAAAAGCGGTGTTTGATACTGGGATATGGTTGGGGGTTTTATGTTAATAATTAATAATAAAATTAATGGCCCCTAAAATAGAAAAAAACACCTGCTAAGTGGAACGAGAAGATGGTCAGAGCCACAGAGGCTTCTGCATGTGCTAGGTTTCCTGCTAAAGGGGGACAAACTGTCCAGGTGGTTCCAGCACTGGCTTCTACTATTGAAGACTCAAGTAGGAGTAGAAAAGTTAGGGGGAAAAGCCAGAAGCTGATATTATTTATTCAGGGGAATGCCATGTCGAGTCAACCAATAGTCGGAGGGACTAGCCAGTTGCCAAAAACCCCTATCATGATCGGTGTTACCATAAAGAAAATTATAACGAAATGCGTGGGCGGTAACAATAACATTGTAGATCTGATCATCTCCTAACAGAGTTCCTGGTTGACCTAGTTCTGCTCGAATTAGAAGGCTTAAGGCCGTGCCTACTATCCCGGTTCAGGCGCCATAGCAGGTATAGTGTTCCGATATCTTTGTGGTTAGTTGAAAACAATCAACGATTGATGAACATAAGTGGGGGAAAGGTAAAGTGGCTGAATAAGCATTAGACTGTAAATCTAAAGACAGAGGTCAAGGCCTCTTTTTAGCAGCCCTGAGGTGATTTCTCATGTTGAACTGAAAATTCAAAGGAGCAGCTTCAATCCTGCTGGGGCTTCTCTGCCTTTCTCCCCCAATGGCGGCGGGAGTAGATTGAAGCCAGTTGATTAGGGTGTTTAGCTGTTAACTAAATTTTATTCGTGGTTTGAATTCCACCAATCTCATAAGGGCTTAGCTTAATTACAGCGGTTGATTTGCGTTCAATTGATGCAGTATAGAGTCTTGCAGTGTTTAGATCTGTTACAGAAATTAAGAGTAACTTACTTACTAAGGGCTTTGAAGGTTCTTGGTCTTATTTAACCTAAATTTCTAAGTTATAGTTAGTATTAATGGAGAGATGGGTAAGAGGAGGGTAGAAGAGATGACAAGTGGGGGGAAGAGTAGTGTGGGTTTTGTGTTTTCAAATTGTCATTTTATTTTCATATTGCTAGATGTGGGGAATAGTGTTACTGATAAGGAATAGACTAGGCATATATAAAAGTACAGGTTGAGTAGGTTATGATAGCTATAATGATTGGGTTAATAAGGCTATTGTTTTTTGTAAATTCTTGAATGATGATTCATTTAGAAAGGAACCCTGTTAATGGGGATAAACCTCCTAAGGATAGTAGAATTAGTGGAATTACAGGTGTCAACCATGCTCATTTGTTTCAGGTGTGAGATAGTGATAGGGTTCTGGTGCTTATACTCTGGCTGAGTGCTAGAAATGCGGTTGTTGTTAGGATAAAGTAAATAATCAGGTTTAGGGTGGTAATGTTTGGATTATAAATTAGTACTGCTGTTGTTCAACCTATGTGAGTGACTGAGGAGTAGGCTAGGATTTTACACAGTTGTTTGATTAAGTCCCCCTCAACCACCCACTATAATGGATAGGATTGTGACAGGAGGATGTTCGTGTTTGTTGATGAAAAGTTTGAAACACAGTTGAGATAGGAGCTAGTTTTTGTCATGTGAGGAGAAGTATACCAGACATCAAAGAGATTCCCTGAATTACCTCTGAGACTCAGAAGTGAAAGGGGGCTATTCCTAGTTTTATTACTAGGGCCACTATTATTATTAAGGATAAAAATTGATTGATAGTGTATTATTGTTCATTGTCCGGAGAACAGGTTATTGGGAAGGATATCTGTTATGAGAATTATAGATGTGGTTGCTTGTGTAAGGAAATATTTGGTGGCTGCTTCTGTAGAGCGGGGATTTATTTTTTTAATTAAGATTGGGGTAAGGGCTAGTATGTTTATTTCTAGCCCTGTTCAGATGAGAAATCAGTGTGAGCCTAGCATTGTGATAAAAGTTCCTGTGAAAATGGTGAGGGCAAAAATAAGTTGAGGTAAGGGATTAATTAGTATAGGAAGGATATAACCAACATTTTTGGTGTATGGGCCCAATAGCTTATTTAGCTGACCTTAATCTAGGACGTGGTGTGATAGGTAGCACAGAGAATTTTGGATTCTCAGGGGTAGGTTAAATTCCTATAGTACTAGAAATTAGAGGATTTTAACCTCTATTGTTTACTCTATCAAAGTAATTCTTTTGTCTGACATATTTCCTATGTTTGGGGTGGGATGCTGGAAATTAGGACAAGCATTGAGATATATCATATGCAAAATGCTAGCGTAAGTGGTAGGAAGTTTTTTCATAAAAGATGTATGAGTTGGTCATAGTGGAATCGAGGGTATGCCATTCGAATTCATAAAAATAGAGTGGTTAAAAGAAGGGTCTTGGTAATGAAATTTGTGGTGTAGAGTTCTGGTGAATATATAGTGTGTAGTGCTCCTAGGAAAATAGTAGTAGTTAAGGCATTTATTATGATAATATTCATATATTCTGCTATAAAGAAGAGGGCAAATGACCTGTGGCGTATTCGATGTTGAAGGCTGAGACTAACTCTGACTCTCCTTCTGCTAGATCAAAAGGTGCTCGGTTAGTTTCTGCTAGTGTGGAGATGAATCATATTATGGCTAGGGGCCATGACGGTAGGAGCAGTCAGAGGAATTCTTGCATTGTGATGAGTGTGTATAAGTTAAATGAGCTGCTTATCAGTAGAACTGATAGCAGGATAATGGCTAGGGTGACCTTATATGAAATTGTCTGGGCCACAGCTGGTAATGCACTGATCAGTGCATATTTTGAATTAGATGCTCATTCTGATCATAGAGTAGACAGCCTGGCTTGATGTTGCTAGTATAAATAGGAGGCCTATATTAAAATTAATTAGACGATCTGGTATAGGCAGGGGAGTTCATAAAAGGAGAGCAATGGAAAGGGCTAGTGTTGAAGCAGTAACATAAAGGGTAATAGTGGATGTTGAGGGCCATAAGGGTTCTTTGGTGAAAAGTTTTATTCCATCAGCGAATGGCTGAAGCAGCCCATAGGGACCTACAATTTTGGGTCCTTTGCATAGTTGTGTATAGCCTAAGATTTTTCATTCGATGAGTGTAAGGAATGCTATAGCAATAAGAGTGGGGATAATAAGTAGGAGAAGGTTAATTATAGCCATATTGTTAAGAAGAGGAGTTGAACCTCTGATTATAAAATTTTAAGTTTTATGCAATTACCAGGCTCTGCCATCTTAACAAACCCTGTTCCTGGGTAGGGTGTGTGATGGTTTGTTAGATTGAGATAGCATCATTTATGAGGCGAGGGTGCTTTATGAAGTGGGCCCTATTTTGTCCTTTTGTACTAGGAGAAATGTTAAATAGATAGAAACCAAACTGGATTACTCCAGTCTGACCTCAGATCAGGTAGGACTTTAATCATTGAACAAACGAACCCTTAATAGCAGCTACACCATTAGGATGTCCTGATCCAACATCGAGGTCGTAAACCTTATTGTTGATATGGACTCTAGAATAGGATTGTGCTGTTATCCCTAGGATAACTTATTCCGTTCATCAAATTAATTGAATCAATGTATGTTAACTCGCTTAGACTAGTGAGGTCTTAGTTTACGTTGTTTGGAGGTTGAAGTATGCTCCGGGGTCACCCCAAACAACATTTTTAATGCAGGGATAGTAGGCTAGGGCCTGTTGGCTTGTTTGAGTTTTTATTTGTATTAATGAATTAAAGCTCCATAGGGTCTTCTCGTCTTATTTTTTTATATCCACCTCTTCACAGATAGGTCAATTTCACTGATTAAAAGTAAGAGACAGCTGAACCCTCGTGTAGCAATTCGTACAAGTCCCTATTTAGGGAACAAGTGATTATGCTACCTTTGCACGGTCAGGATACCGTGGCAGTTGAACATATGTCACTGGGTAGGCAGTGCCTCTAATACTGGTAATGCTAGAGGTGATGTTTTTGGTAAACAGGCAGGGTAAGATTTGCTGAGTTCCTTTTACTTTTTGTAAACTTTCCTTAGAGCATGCCTTTGTTGAGTTAACAGTGTAAATAATAGGGTGCTTATTATATCGTTTATTAATATTAGGCTGTTAACTGTCAGTGGGTTATTCTGGCCTGATGTAAGCTTATGCAATGGAGAATGTCTTCATGTTACTTATATTGACATTATTGCTTCTATTAAATAATAGATTAGTCCAATGTGATGTTAGGAGTTCAGTAGAGTGATTAGAATTTAAGATAGTTAGATGTTGAGCTTAAATGCTTTCTTAATTGGTGGTTGCTTTTGGGCCAACTATGGTGGTAATATTTTTTACTCTCTGTAGGAAGGTTGTTTCCTAGGGTCTAAAGAGCTGTCCCTCTTTAGACTGACAGTTAAACTTACTGGGAAATTAAGTAATTCTGTGGGTAAGTTTAAAGTTGAACTAAGATTCTATCTTGGACAACCAGCTATCACCAGGCTTGGTAGGCTTGTCACCGCTACTCATGAATCTTCCCACTATTTTGCCATGTAGGTGAGTGTGCTCTTTCAGCTATTCTTGGGTAGCTCATCTGGTTTTGGGGGACTTGGCTATAGTTCTCTGTGTAAAGTATTTCTAGTTAATACATTATGCAGAAAGTATAAGGGCTTGTCTTTGCTTTTTAGTGCTTGATATAGTTCTTTCATCTTTCCCTTATGGTACTATGCCTATTGCGCCAGGGTAAAAATTTCTGTTGCCTAAACTTTTTTCTAAGGTAAATCGTTTGATTAAGATAGTTTAATAGTATTTTTAGCGAGGTTTGGGGCTAGAGTTGGCTCAAAGTGATCAGGTCACAATGAAATCTTCCAGGTGTAAGCTGGATGCTTTGGTTTAAGCTACACTTTGGTTTGTCCAAGCGCACTTCCCAGTATGCTTACCATGTTGCAACTTATCTCCTCTATATGTGCATAGAAAACTATTAGTAATAGTGATTTCTAGAGTAATATTTGAGGAGGGTCACGGGTGGTGTGTGCATGCTTCATGGCCTTATTCAACCAAGCACTCTGCTCTTGGTTTACTGCTAAATCCTCCTTGAGCCCTTAGATTTCCTAAAGGATGTTGTGAGATTTTCTGGACATAGAAAATGTAGCCCATTTCGTGCCACCTCATGGGCTACACCTTGACCTAATGTTTTTATGTGTGTACTTGTGCTTACTTTGTGACCTTTTTAGGGTTTGCTGAAGATGGCGGTATATAGGCTGGGGGCAAGAGGTGGTGAGGAGCACCAGGGTTTATTGATTATAGAACAAGCTCCTTTAGAGGGATATAAAGCACCGCCAAGTCCTTTGAGTTTTAAGCTGTTGCTTGTGGTACTCTGGTGAATGGTTTTGTTAATATAACTATTAGAGTTTAGGGCTAAGCATAGTGGTGTATCTAATCCAAGTTTGGATTTTAGCTATTGTGTCTTCAGGATATTAAAGTCACTTTCATAGTATATTTTATGTCAGCTGGAGTTTTTTACAGCTTAGATGGAGCTTAGTTTTATTGAGGGTAGACCTTAAACACTCTTTACGCCAAGTTCTATTAGCTCGAGTTAATCTTATGGCCGCAGTGGCTGGCACAAAATTAACCAACCCTAAATATTAGTATGGCTTGGTCAAACTTTCATTTATTACTAAGGATTTATCACTGCTGTTTCCCTTGGGGATATGGTTGAGCAAAGTGTTTTGAGCTGCATTCATGCATGTTTGATACCTGCTCCTTTTGAGCCGGTGATCCAGAGGGCATTTTCACTGGGGTGGGGATGCTTGCATGTGTAATCCTACTAAGAGCTAATGAAAAGGCCAGATTGTTTATCTGTTTATCTACTAAAAGACATCTTGGTTGCTCTGATGTTTTCGCAAAAATTATAAATGAAGCTACTAAAAACATCCATGTGCAGGTTTTTGTGTAGATACATAGTAATTTTTAAGAGTGTAAAATTGTCAAAAATTAATCAAAGCTTGTAAGAAACATTGATCTAGTATGTCTATTGTCCCAGGTAACGCTTGTATTTCACGGCCTTCTTTCCTTTTTTTGAACCAAAGCAGAGGATTTGGTAGGTCTCTCAAGCATTATGACTAAGAATATGAGAGAAGTAGATTTTATTAATGAAGATTTTCATACTTATCTGAAGCATTTTTTCTGCATTTTCTGCTGAAGCATAAAATGACTGTGAGAGGAAGCCCTTTTGCCTTGAACTAAACCTCAGGAAGGCCAATGATCTGTGATAAATACCCGATTTGCCTGTCCTTCTTGTAGCTTCCAGAATGAGAACAGAAAAGCTAGAACCGGAAAGAGACTCAGCAGATACCCACTCCACCTCATTTGTTTTGTAAATATAGGAACTGCAATCCAGAAAGGCTATGTGTTTCCTGTAAAGTCACATGACGAAGTTGGCACATCTCAATGGGAACCCAGTTTCACTGACCCACTGCCTCTTCCTTTTGTACCATATGTCTTGAAATAGCTTTAGTTTTAAAATTTCATTATTGCTTTCTGACTTTATAATGGTGTTGACCTTAATCTCATTGCAATTAAATGACTTCTTCTTTCACATGATTCCTTGTGGGTAGAATTACACACAATTACTGCAGTACAGCATAAATTCCAGAGCTACTGTTAACTTGAAATGATGAGTAAGTACAGGATGACCTTTGCTGATCAAATATAGAAACAGAAGAGGTACCCCAGATTGTGAAGAGGGTAAAGTTGCTCAACATATTCATGTGTATCTATATATGTTCAGGCCTGCAAACTGTGCAAGCTGTGGGGGTCACTGTGAGTTCACATGTTTGATTAACTTATACAACTTTTACCTTGACTCTTTTTTTTTTTTTTTTTTGAGACAGAGTCTCGCTCTGTCACCCAGGCCAGAATGCAGTGGTGCAATCTTGGCTCACTGCAACCTCCGCCTCCTGGGTTCAAATGATTCTCCTGCTTCAGCCTCCCGAGTAGCTGGGGTAGTACAGATACGTGCCACCACACCTGGCTAATTTTTTGTATTTTTAGTAGAGATGGGGTTTCACCATGTCAGCCAGGATGGTCTCGATCTCCTGACCTTGTGAGCTTCCCGCCTTGGCCTCCCAAAGTGCTAGGATACCTTGACTCTTAAGTTTTCCATTTCCTTTCTTATTTTTCTTCCATGACACAATAAAGACTAAAATACAAATCCTCTGCAGAAGCTATATCACATAAAGCATATGCATTATTCTTGAAAAATTATGCAATTTTTATCATTGAGAATAGTATGTTGAAAATAAACTCATTTAGTTAAAATAGGGATAATCACTTCAGCTAAAGATTTCTTTCTATACAAACCAATTTTGTTGTCTTATGGTCACAAATTGGATTTCTAACCTGGAGCAAATTCTCACAGTCATGTAATTGATCATAAAGTAAATTCGAAAAGTGAGAAAAATTAGAATGCATCTAATGCTATGACTAGAAACAAACTCAGAAATTTATCTCCCAGTGTTTATATGACCATAGTAAAAGCTCTGTACACATGTGACTGAGTGTAACCATTAGGCAAATGTTGAGGATGCAACACTAAATGATGTGCACATTTGACATTCAAACTTTTGGTTTTATTGGTATTGACTATCAAATAATTTAACTCAGAAGATAAGTTTACTTTGAAAATTAAAAATCCCAATGTCTTGTGGGCATGTGTGTGCATGTGTGAGTATGCAGTGTGTATACTGGAAAATTGCCAGTGTTTCACCGTATGTTCTCAAAAACCAGTTATTTTGAATAGCTGAAAAAAAGCATCCCTGCACCTTCAGGTAGTCAAGTGATCTTATTATTATACTGCATCTGATAAATCACTTGGTGCTATTGTGGGCACAAGTATATAAAAAAAACTGGCACTCCTCCTACCTTCCTTTGCCAACACATAAATACCCATAGAAACTCAATATTATCTTAGGATGAAGACCAACACATTTTCTCTGAGATTATTTATACTACTTATATGGCCAAAAATTTTTTTTTGATAAATATCCTTGGTTATTTTTAGTGATCAAGAGGCTCACTCTGTTCTCTACAGAAATTCTCTCTTCAGAGCTCAGATATCTCTGGTGGGTTTCTCATACATTGAAATGGGGCAGTAACACTTTTTCCCATTAGTGGAGTTCAGTATAAGGCTATTGCATCTGGACCCCATTGCAGAAGGATCAGTTATCCAGATGACAAATGTACCGTTTTATAAGGCAGTCTCCCTCAGAGTTTTCACTAAAGTTAGAGTTATAGAGATGCTTTGAGTACCAGTTATTTATGCTTCTCTGTCTTTCTTCATCAATAATTATGTATGTCTATATTTAATATTAATGAAGGTGTATAGTTTCATTTCCCTTTTTTTTGGAGAAAAAGTCTTACTTTGTCACCCAGGCTGGAGTGCAGTAGTGGCTCAACCCTGGCTCACTACAACCTCCACCTCCCAGGCTCAAGTGATCCTCCTACCTCAGCCTCCTGAGTAGCTGGGACTACAGGCACATGGCACCATGCCTGGCCAATTTTTTGTATTTTTGGTAGAGATGGGGTTTCACCATGTTGCCCAGGCTGGGCTCGAACTCCTGAGCTCAAGCAATCCACCTGCCTCGGCCTCCCAAAGTGCTGGAATTACAGGTGTGAGCCACCACGCCCAGCCTGAAGGTGTGTAATTTCTACAAGGACCAGAAAATGATGCATCCAGCCTATTGGGTGGTTGTATCCAAGACTATGCTATTTCAATCAGTGGAATTATTGTTTAGGGTCTTCAGAACTCTTAAACACGTCAATAAACTTGAAGATAAATACAACATTAAAATGAATTATAAAATTTTTATCCTTTTTCATTCATTCAAGTACTTATTGTCTACTTACTTTGGGATAATTACTGTCATAGGCACTACAGATCAAATATAGATTTTTTTTTAAAGACATGGTCTCTGCTCTCAAGGAGCTGACAGTCTAATAAAATTCAGAGGCCCCCATGGCTAGGAATCAAGCTTGTCAGACTGCTTGGTTAGCTTTTTAGTTCGTGTTTTGGGGAATTATCTTAATACTTTGGCTATATCAAGGCTTAGTTAGAAGAGGTATCTTGGAGCAGGAAAAGTAAACAAGACTGAATTCAGTGCATTTATTTTATAATTTACCAAGGTCTAGCCCTACCAATATTCTCACTACTGTCTTTGCCCTAAAGTTGGTCAGAAGATATTAAAAGCCAGAGGATAGAAATATATACATATACATGTATAGAGCTGTACTCTACTCAGGACACAATTGTAAGAGGATATCATTCCATCTGTAAAACTATTTTCTTCAGAAAAGCAAGACAACACATTCACTGAAGGTCTTTGACATAAAAAAGAAGTCCTCTAAGGAAAGTTTGATGGTCTGTAATATTTTTATTCACTGTTTGAAAGCTATTATAGCAGTCCCAAACAGGTCCCAAAAGGAGGGGGAACAACGACTTAAGTATCACCATTGCTACAGCAGAGACACATATGAATACCACTCGCAGTATTTAGCCTAAAAAACCATGGCATGTGTTTCTTCCCTCTCTAGCCCCGCCCATGTCCACCTCTTCTTTGTGGCTATCAATCTTCCTTAATGCAATCATTTAGGTAAAATGAGCTGCTTTGCAGCTCCACATGTTGGTGTTTACAGCTCTTTATGAGCCAATAGGATAAATATCTATGGACATTGCAATATCTCTGCTTGGATGGACGTTGATGATATTGAAGAAAACGGTAAGTTACTGAGGGGAAATCAATCATGTGTACATATATGTTGATGTCTTGCTGAAGTGAAATCATTAGGCAAGAAGTGAATAAACACCAGGACTCCCTTTATGCTTCTAGACTTTGCATAAAATGAAGCAGGGTGATAATAATGGCAGTAGTAGTGGCCAGGAAGAAGGGAAGAAGGAAAGATCAGACAATGGTTTTAACAAGACAAGCAACAGTTTCAAAGAGAGCATATGCTTACTCAAGGGGGAATTATTGTTAGGTTTGGATTCCAGGCAAAAAAATTATCTTCCCTCCAAAAGGCTGTGGAATAATCATAAACACCTCCATCCTCTCCTCTCACACCATCTCAATGCAGAGACTCTGTTCTTGGGAACCTGGGAAGCCTGCAACCCAGGCTCTCCAAATATTGGGCTTCAAGAAACACAGGACCTCTTGAAATTATAGTCAAAATATGTGTGTGTGAATGTGCATTTTCCACTGAAAAGGTTTATAACTTTCATTAACTTCTCACAAAACACTCTGAGTCTCAAAGTTCAAAACTACTGCTATTGATAAAACATTGCTTTCAGAGAACACACATATAAAAAGGATTCAGTAGGGATCAGGAGTAGTACAATATTACCTAACCTGATATTTTCAGAATATAATTTCCACATAAATCACTGGATAAAGAGAAATTACTTAGAGACTGCCCTTTGCACAAAACATAAACAACTCCTTAAACTCCATACTAAGAGTTCTGAAGCTGGAAGTAGTTACCTTAGAGCAGTGGTCATGAGATGAGCAATTTGGAGCCTAGAAAATTAGATTTAAAGTTGCCAGATCACTGAGTCCCTTAGTGGCTCTTCATTTTTGTGGTGTCGTTTTTTTTTTCTTTTTTGAGACAGAGTTTCACTCAGTCGCCCTGGCTGGAGTGCAATGGCTTGATCTCGGCTCACTGCAACCCCCTCCTCCTGGGGTCAAGTGATTCTCCCACCTCAGCCTCCCGAGTAGCTGGGATTAAAGGCATCCACCAACATGCCCGACTAATTTTTGTATTTTTAGTAGTAACAGGGTTTCACCATGTTGGGCAGGCTTGTCTTGAACTCCTGACCTCAGGTGATCCACCCACCTCAGCCTCCCAAAGTGCTGGGATTACAGGTGTGAGTGACCATGCCTGGCCATTTTTGTGTTTTAAGGTATCATTTGTTGGGCACCTACCATATGCCAGTAATTGAACTGGACACTATATGTACATTAATTTACACATTTCATTTTCATGGGTAACACAATGTTTAATAAGCTTGTTCCTGATTCTTGGGTGTTTTTCCAGAGACCCTAAAAGCCAAGAATAAGTAAACAATCAATGGCAAGCACTTCCACAGCACAAAGCAAGGTTCTGGTTCACTGATACAAGACAGACTACAAAACAGTAAAAGCAAATCTTCATTAGCCAATCACTCACCTCCAACCTTCATGAGAGAGCTAAAAAGGCCAGTGATTTTGGTGGGGATCATTTCGGAGTGAGGTGCTGATGTGCCTTTGACATTCCCTGACTCACCACCACCCTTCCCCATAGAGGAAGATGGTGGAGAGCTTCACTCTCACCTGTACCAAGTGAAAAAGAGAGGCTTCAGGAACATTCCTTAGAGGGTTTAGCATGTGTTCCGTAAGGCTGGGGAGTTCCAGGCTGAGGCTATTCTTGCTAGGAGAAATCTAAGGTAGGAGGCTGTCTGTAGCAGAAAGATCAAGGGGATGTGGTACGGAGAGCAAGCCACACTTGTATTCATGGCATGGGTCTTTGCCATGGACCAGTTGTGGGCTTTATGGAAGAGAGGTAGCCTGGGGTTGTTTGGACAGGGACTCTACCTGAGAGGACTATCTGGAGATGTGATAAATATCACAGAGGAAAGAATCCCCAGAAGTTCAAGTGTTGAATGGAGAAACATAAATGCCCTTATAGAGGAGAGGCGTGGCCTGCCACACTAGAAGTGCATTCTTATGTCCTCGGTGTGGAATCTGAGAGTCTGCTTTGGACAACATGTCTAATGGCCAATACCACTTGACAACTGTATCCATCAGGTGAGACATGTTTCTCTCTTATCTTTCTTATTTTCTACATACCATGTGGGAATATACCAAAGCACTGTCACATAAGTAGGGAAGGAGGTAAGGCAAGGAAGAAAAAGCCCACTTTGCCCCCTTTTTTTGTGTAGGCTTTCAGTCTTGCAGCAGGTTTGAATTGGTGCTGGAGAGAAGAGTAATTGGACAAGAGCTGAAGGCTTGTTATTGTGGTGGATAAAACTAGATTGGACTTTTAGATAATCTAAAAATAATGTGACTATATACCCTGATTTGCATAGGCCATCTTTGATTTCACCTGATGCCCTTGTGTAGATAATAAATAGCCATCCTTTCACTTTCAACAATGAGATGATTTGGATGATAATTTATACGGTCACTCAATCCCAGAGCGATTCTGAAATTTATGGTACCTGATTGGAAATTTCATCCACTGATGGGAGAAACAAGCGAATATTCCAGTTACAAAGTGGAGATGGTAGGAAAGGATTGTTTCCTTTTTATACATAAAGTAATGTAAGAGGACACTGAATGAGAACAAAGGGGGAAATATGGTCATAGTGTATCATTAGAAAATATTTATAGTAAACTTTATAATTATCTTTCTAGATTGCAAATGCAGTCCTCCTCAAGAGACAGTCTTTATATCTTGATCTTATCTCTAGGTAAATATTATTTTCTATGGTTACATAGAGATATCAAGATCTATTGGAAACTCTTGATCATTACAATCAAGATTCTGGTGACCAAAATGGACAAAAACATGTAAGCAGATTGTGTTACACAATTTTTATCCAGAGGAGTTATTTCTATCCAGATGCATTTTTCATTACATAAGAAGACAAGAAAACCGAGAAAAACTCTAAAAAATAAATTCTTGCTCAGCTAAATTATGCTTAGAAAATATCCTGTCATTTCAACTAAAAATATCTTGTTTTTTATGTATGGCTATTTCCCTGAAAATGACATTAAAAAATCATGGGAAATATATAAATATTTTAGTCGTATATTGCATAGTAAAAGTATAATTTATCATAGAAACCACTCACTTCTATCAAAATAGTCTGAGGAAACAGGTGTAGAATAGATTATATTCCATTTAAAACATTGCTTGCTTTATTGTTTTTAAATAGGCTTATGTGAAACTCCACCCGCTGGGAAAAAATGAAATCAGGATGAATCATACATCCAAAGGTCATTGATCTAAAAATATAGGTCTTGTAAAATGAATAAACATATTCTATTTTGTGAAAGCATCAAGTGAGAGGATTTTAGGATCCTTCCAAATCATTGAAGTCTCCCAGGTTGTTAATTAATTTATCAGTAACAGAGGAGGCAGCCACTCTAGTGCCCTGTCCTCCTGGGGAAGCAGAGTAGATAAAAGGTGATCCTGCTGAGGAAGGATAGAGATCAAGGGCCTTAACCTCTCCCCAGGAGAGAGAGAGAAGCATATGTGCAAAACAGACAGGAAAGCTCAGCCCTCTCTTGATTGCTTCCATTGAAAGCAGACTTAGTAGGTCCTCAGGAAATACTGCCTATGATGATGAGAAGCATGCAACACTTCCGGGCCAGAACACAAAATTGACCAATGAAAACAGAACTAGTATTTGTTGTCATCCAAACATTAAACAAAATTCTGAAAAGAAATGAAAAACAGACATTTCTCATGTAGAGCCTTCCACAGTTTTTATGGAGAGGGAGAATGATATTAAGAATACCAGGGGTCTACCTGTGTTGCTGGAGGGAGCTAACAGGAATGTACTATTTGCCAAGTGTATTTTTCTTTTTAAATTTTTTAAACTGAGCCCTTAATCAGCAGACAACTTTCTTTGATAAGTATTAGAAGGTACATAAGGCTGGGCACGGTGGCTCACGCCTGTAATCCCAGCACTTTGGTCAGACAAGGCAGGCGGATCACGACGTCAGGAGATCGAGACCATCCTGGCTAACACAGTGAAACCCCGTCTCTACTAAAAATACAAAAAATTAGCCGGGTATGGTGGCACACACCTGTAATCCCAGTTACTCGGGAGGCTGAGGCAGGAGAATCGCTTGAATCCGGGAGGCGGAGGTTGTAGTGAGCCAAGATCACGCCACTGCACTCCAGCCTAGGTGAAAGAGCAAGACTCTAGTCTTAAAAAAAAAAAAAAAAAAAAAAAAAAAAAAAAAAAAAAGAAGGTATATAAGATGTATATTGTCGAGTTTTGGATAGCTTGATGTAAATAGCTGCCTTGCCTCACTGAGACCTTTTTTTATAGTGGTGCTTTGGTGTGAGAAAATAAAGAAAAAAGTGTTCTAAATGTGTTTTGATAATGCTGCTTATTGGTGAATAAATACACATATTTACAGTGGAGTAATCAATGGTCGGGGCAGTGAGATCTGTACACCCTGGATGCAGGCTATTTCAGGATATGCTGTCATTAGAGAATTAAAAACAATAATAAAACAAATAAAAGCCAGGGTGACTTTTATTACCACTATGTGCTGGTAATCATAAACATTAACAGTAATAAAATACTCTTCCTGGCCAGACTGAACCCCTCCCTCCACTGACTTCCTCACGCCAGGGGATGTGTGTATGTGTTTGTGTGTGTGGGTGCGTGCATATTTCTATAAATGAAAATCTGCAGGCACACTCACATATAATGACCCACGTAGAGATCTCATTTTGTTAAGAGGGAGCTTATTCACACGTAAAATGCTAGAATGACCCTCTAAAGTTCAAGTATAACCTGGTCCAGGACTCAACACTAGCTTGCCACAAAAGCTTGTTATGTCATTGAAAAGCTAACTTTTTTAAAATGATTTTTTTTAAAGAAAGTTTATAGCATTGATATCTTAACCATGAGCTAAATCTCCATTTAGTATTTGAAATCGTGCAGGATCATGGATGCAAACTAATTTTCCCAGTGTCACACATTTAGTAAATGATAAGGAAGGAAATTGAATTCAGGTCATCTGAATTTAATACTTTACTATGCTTCTAATAAAATATGATTATTTCAACAAAGTGTTTTGTTTTCCCAAACTCAGTAAATGATTTCTTTTTATTTAAATCTTATTAACTCTTAAATTAATAAAGGTAGGTGTTTAAAATTCACCTAGATTTCTTTGACTTATATTGAATCACGAAAAAAACTATGTTTAAATTAATTTTATTTAAATTCTTTTTTAAAAATTTCCTCTAAAAAAATGGGATACATGTGCAGAACGTGCAGGCTTGTTACATAGGTATATGTGTGCCATGGTGGTTTGCTGCACCTATTGACCCATCTTTATGGATAGAAGAATCAATATTGTGAAAATGGCCATACTGCCCAAAGTAATTTATAGATTCAATACTATTCCTATCAAACTACCATTGATATTCTTCACAGAAATAGAAAAAACGATTTTAAATTTCATATGGAATCAAAGAAGGCCCTGTATAGCCAAGACAATCCTAAGCAGAAAGAACAAAGCTGTAGCATTACACTACCTGACTTCAAACTATACTACAAGGCTACAGTAACCAAAGCAGCATGGTACTGGTACCAAAACAGATATATAGACCAATGGAGCAGAACAGAGACCTCCAAAATAACACCACACATGTACAACCATCTGATCTTTGAGAAACATGACAAAAACAAGCAATGGGGAAAGGATCTCCTATTCAGTAAATGGTGCTGGGAAAACTAGCTAGTCATATGCAGAAAACTAAAACTGTACCCCTCCTTACACCTTATACAAAAATTAACTCGAGATGGACTAAAGATTTTAATGTAAAACCCAAAACCATAAAAACCCTAGAAGAAAACCTAGGTAATACCATTCAGGACATAGGCATGAGTAAAGACTTCATGACAAAAATGCCAAAAGTAATTGCAACAAAAACTAAAATTGACAAATGGGATCTAATTAAACTAAAGAACGTCTACATAGCAAATTTTATTTAAATTCTAATCCAAGCTTTCTTTGTACATACATGAGGACTATCAAATTGCATTTCCCCAAAATAACTTGTGATTTGTCTCATTTGTTTATGCAGACATAAAAATAAAATACTCATGATCACAAGTGTCTATACACTTGCATGTATGTATGTGTATATATTTGTGCTGCCTATGATACACTTGATCAGTCAATAGCACATGAGCTCTCAGTCATTAATTTCTATAAAACTGGTAAAAAGTAAAGTTCAAGAATCTGCATTTTCACAGAGACTGTCAGCGCATAATTTCCAAAATACCTAATTGATAAATACAAATATCTAAAATGTTTAGTAAGGGAAAATTTGTCTTTAATATTGAATTCTTTTTTTGCTATAAAAACGGCCCTAATTTAATTAGTTTTAGAATAAACATGGGGATAATTTTGAATGTACTGATAGAAATATTATCTTACATAATCACCCTGATAAATACATTCCATTGTATTCATTGGAATACAATTGACTGATATACAGTTAATGGAGAAAATGGACATATATGTCTATGTCTTTATATCATTTTGTTCAGTGCTAGTGCAGGGTGCTGTGAGAACACAAGTGAAGGCCACCTATATCCAACTGGGTGTTGTAGAGTGTGGCCTGAAGTAATATGAAAGTGAAGGATTTAGCTAAAGAAAGAAAGAAAGGGGGAGTAGAGAAAATCGTGACTCAAGCAGAGGGAAACATCCCAGGTGATGCCATGAAGGTACGATGGAACATGACAAGGCTAAGGAAAGCAAGCCAGTTATATCTAAAACACAGGTTGCATGGACTAGTGTGGAGGAGTTGAGGCTAGATGACAGAGAGTAGACAGATGTAGTGTGTTAGCAAAAGAAATTTGAATTTATATTGCATCTATGGGGAAATAAGGCAGAAGTTGATAGTACACAACCCGAATCTTTTTTCTTCTTGGGTCATAGCTTGACTGTATTTCAGCCTCACTCAGAACAGGATGTAGCCATACGACTGAGTTCCAGGAATGAAAAGTGGCAGTGATAGGTGCCTCTCCTATGGGGGTCATCTTCTGTCTCATTTGGATGGCGATATTCTGAATAAGCTTGGCTGTCATGTGTTGAAGATGCCAGAGCCTCGATCAGCCTGACTGCTGCCAGTGTAACACTAGATGTAAAAGATGACATTACCAGTGCTTGGGTCATGACAGCTGGGTCTAATTGTTAAAGCAGTTTGAACAATCCTAAATTGGGAATAAATTGAAGGATTGTAATCTGGGTTGTATTATAATCCGATTTATATTTGGGAGCTATATCTTTGACAGGAAGGATAAGGATGGAAGGAATCATTTAGGAGGCTACTGTAGATAATCCATATTTGAGATGGTGAGGACTCAGACCAAGGAAGATGATTAGAGAGTTATATCTAGCCTGCCTTTCTTTCTTTCTTTCCTTCCTTCCTTCCTTCCTTCCTTCCTTCCTTCCTTCCTTCCTTCCTTCCTTCCTTCCTTCCCTTCTTTCTTTCCTAATTTTTTTCCTGGACTTCTTTTTAATTCCGAGGTAAGGTTGCATATATATGCCAAGTAAAAAGGCAATGGCAATTGGGATAAGTGGGAAATTCACAAACCCAAGACCTTTAGTAGGTAAATCTGTAAGATCTGGTGATTGATTGGGTGTGGTGGATGAATAAGGAGAAATCTAGAATGACTTACAAGCCTCTGGCTTCAGTAATTGGTTAGATACAGTGTAGGCAATTTAGAGAAAAGGCATTGTTAGGAGGAACAGTAAAAATGTTCTATGTTAAGCATGTTGACTTTGATTTGGCTGTAAATCACTGAGGAACCAAGGAGGATATGTCTAAAAGATCATTCTATTTGGAGTTCAGGCAGGAGGTCTGGGATGTTGACAATTTTGCACTGTCATTTCTGTATAAAGCAATAAAAACTAGATGATGAGATGGTACAGGTCCTCAGACTGGTGACGGGAAATAAAAATTTAAAGATAAACAGAATAAAAAGAGATAACATCAGAGAGTGAGAAGAAGTGAACAAGGAGGTTAGAAGGAGAGCAAAATAGCATGGTAGTGATCACCAAAGCTGAAGAGAGTTCAAGATCCAAAATTCCACAGCGAAATTAAGATAAGGACTAAGAATAATGCATTAGATAATACATCAAGGAGGTTATTGTTGACTTTATAAAGGGCAATTGGAAAGAAATGCTGGTGACAAAGCCTGATTGCAATGTATTGAGCAATGAATGGGTGGAAATGGAATCCAAAAGTACAGATACCCCTTTTAAGCAGCTAATAATTGGGCAATAACTACAGAGGAACTTTGCATCAAGAAAGATGATGGACTTTTTTTTTGGCTTTCGATTGAGAACCCATTATCATGATAATACTATAAAAATAAGAGAAAATTTTAAAGATATGGGGGGAGAGATGACACATGATGGAGTGAATCCCTAAACTCATGGGAGAAGAAAGGTGAATAGATTAAACTTGGGCAGGTAGTGCTGCCTCTTCCTCTGCTGAGAGAGAAGAAAGAAAGAATTGTAAGTTTATGCAGACTATGGAGCAAGCCCCCCTTTGATGGTTTATCTTTTCTGTTATATAGAAAATGAAACCATTTGCTATGAGAGGGAAGGCAACGTAGTAATGGATTTTGACCTTAAGGACAAAGTTTGGAGAAATCCCCTGAGAGTAGTGGGAAAGCACACTGACTAGGACCTAAAGGGAATTGCTAGGTTGCACCAAGGACCCAGGTGGAGTTGGATACCAAGCCTTTGCAGGGGCAACTACCTCCTCTCCTGTGTGATTTTTTTCTACCCTTGGCAGGATAGTTGGGATCCATTGGCAGAACAGTCATCTGACTGCTTCAATCCAGGGTTGAGGCTCACAGAGCTTTGTAGATGAATGAATAAGGTAGCAAAATATGTAAGTCATAATGAGCGAGATCTTTGCTAAAATGTCATGTGTGAATGTCGCTAATAATTTTGGCCTGTAAGCCTCATTGGATTGTGTTATATGCAGTGTGGAAATAATGCTTTGGCACATAGTATGGAAATTCAGTATCAAAGAGGCAAAAAAGAAAAGCCTGCCTTAATGATTGACTTCCAGTGTGTGAAACTTGATTTAAGATATAATGGTGTTACCAGTGTATTTTACTACTCTCTTTACAGTCTTTAAGAGCTGTCCTAGACTAACGTTTATCTGCTTAACAGATCTTCCAGAAGACAGCAGTGAATTCCATCCTGACGTGCTGGTTTGTCTTCTTATGAAAACAGCCTAAGTTCTTGAACTTGAAATGGTGATAACATATTTTCACTTTTCACATCTTATGGGTTTTATTTGGCTCCACTTTGCTCTTAGAAGGGGACAAAGCACCAGAGGGAATACACACATATATTTGAAAATTTTCCTCTTGGCTTTCTTAGTTAACCTACTGCTTATGATGCAAAATCACTGTATCTGATTTAAAATTGTTAGAGTGCAAAGCCTCATAATCATAAGAAACATGGTGCTAAGTTTAAACTGGGAAAGTACTTTACTCTCAGAGAAATATTCTATTTTGTTATCTTAGTAATAATAGAAAGTGACATGTCTTTGCCACTAGCTGACTTTTGTGTGTTGCTTTTCTTGCCAATAGCCACAGGGTTGTATGTTGATCCTGATGGATGGTGACACATATTGGTAATTATGTTGACATGAATTCTCTTGACCCCCTCCCCTTCATTGGTAGAGTGTGGGGTGGGATATTTTTTGTAGTTTTAGCTATGTGCCAAACTAAATATTACGTACTTACTTAGTGATTTATGTGAGAGTCTTTTCACATTTGTGATGTGGTGGCTTAATATTTTTTGTGTTGAAAAGTATATTTATGAACATATATCTGTACATATGTAGGTAGGTGTGTATGCTTTGGGGCTAACATCGTAACATTAACAAATTACTACAATTGATAAAAATAACTGAGTGGTTATTGAGCATTTCTGTGGCAGTTGCTATGCTATGTAAATTATATATGATAGAATTTCACCCTCAAAATAAGCCCAATAGTTCAACTTTATTGACGCAGAAGCTAAGACTCTGAGGTATTGTAACTTGTCAAGGACATATACCATTAAGTAGATGATCCACAGATGACCCTAAAGTCCAGATTTCAAACACACACTCAACTACTCTTCTTAACGTTTTCTCAAAAAGCTTGTAAGAGTGAGTGTAGTTAATTAAGCAAAGAAAATGTATTTCCACTTCCAAATGGTGTATATTTGAATTTCATAATTTATGGCATCAAATGGCAAAGCTTTGTTAACACTTGTCTGTACTAAATGATTCCATTAACTGTTCCTTAGGAAAAATAGCTGTAATTGTAAGCATGCTTAAAACTATATTCTTTGTTTTCCTATTGTTTTATAGATTATTTAATACTTAGTTTATATATGTCATTTATGTTTGCCCTTTATGTACATGAACAAAGATGAGGAAATTGTAGATGGGAATCAAAAGTCAGTAAGAGGTAAGTATTATCTAATCAATTTAACAATAACCTTATGTTGAAGGTTATTGTATGGAATTCTAAGATCTCCAAGAGACAATTGCTTTCTACAAGAAAAGCTACTAAGAAATAATACTTATTATATGAGGCTAATCAATGGAATATTCCACAGTGAACTCTGATTTTTAACTCTATGGCTGATTTAGATGTGGAAATAGAAAAAATAAGGGAATAGGGTCTCTACCTTCTGAATGGAATCAATCAGATTCCACTGTCACAAACAATGTTCTGCAAAAAAAGGAAGAAAACCACTTTGTTATGTTGGCACTAGACTAAGCATTTCTGGTTTTGTTGTTGAATTTAATATTCTCAAAACTCTGTGAAGAAGGTATTATTGTACCCATTTTAGGTGAGGAAGTTGAAATTTAGAGATTATAGTCAAGATCGTACCGTAGTAGCAGAATTTGACTCTAAAGTCTGTGTTCTTGACCCTATGTCATGCCATCTTCCAAGGATTATATAAAAGAAGCATTTCTTGGTAAGAATTCGTTATTGTGTCTTCGGCCCTGTCTATGAGAAGTATTCTAGTTTGCTTAGCAGTCACCTGTGCCTGCCACACTAAAGACTCATGCATTGATTTTTATCAGCTTGATGCAATTGCCCTTTTGTATCCCCTGATTCCAGATTTGCAAAGCAATCTTTAGATGATAACTTCATTTTCACTATATATGTTTCTTATTAGGTGAAGAATACATAAATCAGCTATATGAGTAAAATTTGGGATTGTCTTTATGCAACAGTGTTTTATACATTTGGGTAACGTATGTCAGTTTTCCATTAACTTATCACCTCTATGTTGCATGACAATGTTTTTATACCTGAAAAGGTAAGAGCCAGCTTCTGAACCACCATGATCATTATGAAGCCTAAACACCTGTGAATGTTGGCCTGCATCGAACTGCCACATTTAACTTATCTTCTTATCTTAATACATCGCACAAATAATTCTGAAAATTAGCCTGAGACCGTCATTCATGGTTGTTAGTCAAAAAATCAAATCACAGATGTGTGAGAAAGAAAGAATACGTAGAATTATACTTGGAGTCAGAAAAGCAAGAACCAAAACTTACAAGCCTTATTTAGATTCAATTATTTTAATCATCTGCTCTCCAAACTGGAATTTCCCACGACACTGTGGGAAGTTCTTTGCTGATAACATACCTAAAAATGTTATTATAGGAACAAAGCCCCCTTTAAAACTGATCATTTAATTTCTGAAGTTGGCAAATTCCATAGAAAATATTACACACTTGCTTGTCAAGTTTATTTGCTGGAAAAATAAACTCTCCAAAGAAAATAAAGTTCAAGATGACATCGAAGAGAATTTTTCTTAAATGAGGTTAAGGATGTTTGATATGGATTTACTTTACATTCTCCAATTATAAATAAATTATAAATGATTTGCACCTACTCCTCCCTCCACCTCTGTTATTGGAAAGAAAACAGTAAAGAAAAATAATTTAGTTACACATCCTGGGCTATTTTTATTTCAATTGACCTAATAGATAGAGAACATGTTAGATTGAAAGTACAATAAATAATTAGAATTATCATCTCTAAACAGACTAATTTTAACCGTAATCCTCATTTTCCCTCCACACAATTAAAACCAAATTAAGCTTCTTGGCAGGGGTAGGCAATGATAGATTGTGGTGAAGAGACCAAAAGCTCCCTTATGTAATAACTGCATCACCTTAACTGAATTTCTTTTTTTTTTTTTTCTTTGAGATGGAGTTTCACTCTTGTTGTCCAGGCTGCAGTGCAATAGGGCAATCTCGGCTCACCGCAACCTCTGCCTCCAGGGTTCAAGCGATTCTCCTGCCTCAGCCTCCCGAGTAGCTGGGATTACAGGCATCCACCACCAAGCCCGGCTAATTTTTTTTTGTATTTTTAGTACAGATGGGGTTTCTCCTGGTTGGTCAGGCTGGTATCAAACTCCCGACCTCAGGTGATCTGCCCGCCTCAGCCTCCCAAAGTGCTGGAATTACAGACGTGAGCCACCGCACCCGCCCAGCTGAGTTTCTTTTAACATCTCTATGCCTCAGTTTTCTTATCTGTTAGTAGCCAAGACTCTTATGATTTTCCTATAAATTAGTACTTGCAATGTGTTTAGACTAGTGCTTGGCACTGTAGGGAACTGCTAAAATATATTTTTTTACCTTCTCTACCCTTCTAAATTCATGGCTGAGGCTGCTATAACAAAAGATTAACAAGAGAAATGCACATAAATATATTTAATGTATATTTTATGTTGTAGGGAGGTTTCCTAAGAAAATAAAGACCTGAAGAAACAGTTAAAACAGACTTTTTTTAAACCGTAGGTTTGATGTAAAATGGAAAGTCATGGAGAAATATGATAGGACAACGTGGGTATGAACTAAATGTAACAAACTGAGGGTCAGTTAGCAAGGCTGGTTTCTTCAGATTCCTCTCTGCATCCCTTCATCTTTGGAGATAAGGATGTTTTTTCCCTTCCAGTATAAGAAGGGCACCTCTTGCATCCTCATGTGAGAGGGTCTTCTGACTTGCTTCAGGGAAAGGTCAGAAAATCCTTCCTAAATTTCATGACCTGCTTCAAGGGAGAAGTGCAGGGAAAGGTCAGAGAGACCTTCTTGCTTCTGCCATTTTTTCAAATTCCTTTAGCTTAAAATATTCAGTATGCCACGGTGCCATCTTTCAGGGTAGAGTGCCCTGAACGCTATCAGTACATAGAAAATGTTCCACTAAATGTGAGACTTATAGCTCATGGCTTTCTTTCATTGAGAGCTGTTCAGAATTTGTCTTTGATTTCCGCTTCTCTGTCAGCACCACTTTGCAAGAATTCATTGTAACAATGTATATGCAACAGCACTGGCTCAGTTGTGTTCATTACTGACTCCCCTTCAGCACTCTCCTCTATTCCCAGTTCTCCCCGCTCATCCTCCGTTTCCATATGAAGATTCTGTATCACCCTTTCAAATACCATTTCAAAGGT
Organism: Homo sapiens; assembly: GCF_000001405.40. Lineage (NCBI taxonomy): Eukaryota > Metazoa > Chordata > Mammalia > Primates > Hominidae > Homo > Homo sapiens. Next base: position 155,483,909 of record NC_000004.12, read on the forward strand.
GCCTCTCTGCAAAGTGTTCACTATTTCCCTCACTTGCTTCTTAAAAGGTTATGTTAGTTTCCTGTGGCTACTATAATAAGTTAACACACATTTGGTGGCTTAAACAAAAGAAATTTATCCTTTCATGTTTCTAGAGGCCAGAAGTTAAATTATGGGCTGGTCTGCCTGTCTTCTGGGGGCTGTAGTGGAAAAATTTCCTTTGCTTTTTCCAACTTCTGTTGGCTCCTGGCATTCCATGTCTCAGGCAGGTAGCATTACCCCCATCTTCAAGACCAGAATCTTTAAATCTCTCTCTGCTAGTCTTCACATCACCTTCTCTTCTACCTGTGTAATCTCCTTCTACCTTTTTTCTTATAACACTTGTGATTGAATTGAGAACTCACTTATTCCAAAAAAAAACTCCCCAATTTAATTTAATCACACCTGCAAAGGGCCTTTTCCCTTATAAGGCACGATTTACAGATTCCAGGGATTAGTGCCTGCTATCTTTGGGTGGCCATTATTCAGACTACTTTATAAGAGTTTCCTAATTTGAATCCACAAATTTGTTGATATTTTTCTAATGGCACTAACCTTATTTAAAAAATTGTGTATGTCATATTTGTTCTCATCTATTAGACTGTGGGTTGACTGAAAGAAAAAGGCATGCCTTGGCTGGGCGCGGTGGCTCATGCCTGTAATCCCAGCACCTTGGATGGCCGAGGCGGATGTATCACAATGTCAAGAGATCAGTCAAGAGATCAAGAGCATCTTGGTCAACATGGTGAAACCCCATCTCTACTAAAAATACAAAAATTAGCCAGGCGTGGTGGCGCACGTCTATAATCCCAGCTACACAGGAGGCTGAGGCAGGAGAATTGCTTGAACCCGGGAGGAGGAGGTTGCAGTGAGCCTAGATCACACCACTGCACTCCAGCCTAGGTGACAGAGCGAGACTCCGTCTCAAAAAAAAAAAAAAAAAAAAAAAAGATATGCCTTTTTCTGTATCTGTTTATTTTTTTTTTAATCCTCTGTAGTAACAAATTCAGAGATGTGCACATAGGTAACCCTCTATCAACATTTGTTAAGTTAAATTTAATAAATTTTCCAAATGTTACTTATGGTGACTGATATTATTGAAAATGTCAAGATTTCTCATCTGTCAATGTATACAAAAGCTGTGCTTCTGCCATATTCAGGTGCTTTGGGGGTTACCAAAATAAGATAAGAATTCACAGTCTAGTTAGGGAGAAGGAGATATTAAAAAACTATAAACAAGTATGAGAATGCTAAACATACAACGGGAAAACTCAAGAAAAGTGCTCCCTTGGGGAAAAATAGTATTTCCAAGCACAGTCATGCCTAAAATTATTTCTATTATTGAAGTTATATCTAGTTTATATATTTCTAATAAGTAACTACCAAAATCTTGATTAACAGACTTTGAATATAATTAACCTGAAATGTGCATGATATATAATTAACTTTTAAATTTTAGTGACTAAGATCCTAGCTCTTTGAGATATTATACAGAATAAAGGCCTCTGCACTTTTCTTTCTTAAAAAACAATTTTTTTTATATTTTCTTGTTCTTTTCTGAGATAATAGGCAAGCGTTTTATGTCTTGTTCTTTTGGCTTTTTGCTACCTATTCCCACTTTAAAACAATTATTATGCCCTTAAAGGAGAGGTGGCCTGTCTTACAGTTTCTTCTCCACCTTCTGCAGCCATCCACTAGTGCAGATTCAAGTGGCATGCAATCACTTCCATCTCTTCAATTATGATTTTCTGATAATAGTCCCTCTCATGTGGAGAAATGGCAGCACTTCTCTCATGATAAACCCTTTGGAATTCTGTATCCCTAGAGTCTGAAGGGCATCAAAGTTCAGCTCAGACAGGCCACTTTGGTTATGGGAATTAGAGTCTGGTTACTTTTATATTTTCAAATATGATACTTTTGTCTCCCAGTAACTTATTTGTAAGTGTAGACATAAAAGGGATAGCTTTTTAATCTGTGGCTTTCAAACTTACTAGAATCATTACATCTGGACTTTTGCTAGATTTTACAATACTTCTCTTAAAGAGATCGCCTATTCTTATTGTCTCTCAGTGACTTAAACGTCTCACATGAATCTAGATAATACAAACAATGAACCTATTTTGTTTTGAATATTTTTGAACATTCATGAGGTTATTGAGATGGATAATAAAAATCTTTCATCATCCCATCCCTGAAAATAACTTGTATTTTTGAACACTTACTAACTGCCACACAATACACTATGTCTTAGGTGCACTACAGAAGGTAATTGTTAAAGGTACACTACACCTATATTGTTTTAGGTGCACTACAGGTGGTTCTTATGTTAAAGATGGGAATACTAAGGCTTAGAGAAGTTAAGTGATCCATCTGAGGTCATTTAGATGGAAAGTAAAAATACGAAATTAGGAACCATTTTCCCATTTATTATTTCATGTGGCATCTATTTATTGAGAACGTAATATATGATAGGCACATTTTTATACATTGGAGATACAAGGGTGAGTAGAAAAAGATATTGTCCCTTCAGAGGTTACAACAGAATATGGGGGTGGGGGCATTATTCAGGTCATCATATGAGTAAATGTAAAATTTCCTCTGTAATATGTGTTAGGAAGAAAGGAACATAATTGTGTTTTAGGAGGATTAGAGGCATTCCTAGAGAGAAATCACAGAAGGCTGTCCAGGAAGAGGCTCTTTAAAGGCAGCAATGAGGCCAGGTGCGGTGGCTCACGCCTGTAATCCCAGAACTTTGGGGGGCCGAGGCGGGTGGATCACGAGGTCAGGAGATCAAGACCATCCTGGCTAACACGGTGAAACCCCGTCTCTACTAAAAATACAAAAAAATTAGCCAGGTGTGGTGGCGGGTGCCTGTGGTCCCAGCTACTCGGGAGGCTGAGGCAGGAGAATGGCATGAACCCAGGAGGCGGAGCTTGCAGTGAGCTGAGATCGTGCCACTGCACTGCAGCCTGGGTGACAGAGCAAGACTCCGTCTCAAAAAAAAAAAAAGGCAGCAATGAGAAGGAGTTTGGAGGGTGTTCAAGGCAAAGGCACTGCTATGAATTGAATTGTGTCCCCCTAAAAATCATATTTTGAAGCCCTAACCCCCAATGTAATGGTATTTGGAGATTAGCCTTTGGGAGATACTTAAGTTTAGATGAGGTCAGGAGGAGCTGTCACGGTGAGATCAGCGCCCTAATAAGAAATAAGGAAAGATACCTTACAGTTCTCTCTCTCTTTCTGTCTCTCTCTTTCTGTCTCTGTGCACACACAAAGAACAGATCATTTAAGTGAGAACATACAGTGACATGCAGTCACTTATAAGTCAGAGAGTCTTCACCAGAAACCAACCATGCTAGCACCCTCATCTTGGACTTTTAACCTCCAGATTTTTTAGGAAATTATATTCTGCTGTGTAAGCCACCCAGTCTGTGGTATTTTGTTATGGCAGTCTAAGCTGACTAATACACATGTATGCAAATATTCTGTATGGGAAGATACCTTGACTTGTCTTGAGAGAAAGCCAGTGTGAACAGTGCAGAGTACAAGTGGGAGCATGGTTTGAAATGAGCTGAGGAACCAGATACAGCCAGTGCATGGGACCACTTTAGGAATATGGCTCTTTATACTGAAAGCACTAGAAAATCACTGAAGAGCTTGTGATCTGATACACTTGTATTCTGAAAAGATCATTCTGGCTGCTGTACTGATGGGGAATGGGATATAGGAATGGTGAGGAGCTGGGCAAGATCCAAGAATGATTCCCAGGTTTCTGTCGTGCACAGTTTGAATTCATTGAAGAGGGAACACTGAACAGGGGACAGGATTGGAGAGAAGGATGGAAGACATGAGACAGTATATAAACTCAAACGTGCCTTATTTATATCCTCAATGATAATCTCTTGTAGGCCAGAAACAGGAGCAGATTTAAGGGGGAACATAAAACGTTCATTTTGCATGTGTTGATTCTGAGATAACCTTGGAACATGCAAGTAATGATTTCAAGACGGTAGTTGGTATACCAGTTTGGAGCTTTAGGAAGAGTTTAGGGACAGATGTATATTTGTGGGTATTTGCTGCTTACATAAGAAAACTGAAAGACAGCTAGAAATCTTTGCTTCTCTTTGACATCACTATCTCCATTAGAGTATATTATCTGAATTGATTCAGAAATCTCACTGGCACAGCTTGGTGAAGGAAGTTCTGACTACTGGGGTTCAATCCCTGCTCTACCACTCATTAGCTCTCTGATCTCAAGTTTTGGTTCTCATGAATAACAGAGGATCAGTTTAACTTAATTCAGGACATTGTTTGAGGATGAAATATGAAATATCTGTTTCTGAGTAGGTGGTCAAAAACATCATAGTTTTTATTGGCATGACTTGATAGAAAACTTCAGTTTTAAGGCTCAGGGCTTATCTTTCCTCTCTCTCCTTGCATTCTCTATCAAGCATTCCTTTCTCAGCATGTTTCAATCTTCTCAAATCTCTATTCTTTCAGAAGTGCCTCATCTCATACCACCCCCTGGCTGTACAAGATTTTCCATGAGAAATTTTACCCATGTTCTCTAGAGTTCCTGATCTATCCATTTACATCAACATTTGAGCATGAGCAGTAAGGATTCCAAATTAGTTTCTCAGTTTTCTCTGTACATTTATAGCTATGACTTAGAGGCAAATATAAGATTTGCTACCTCCCCTTTTTAGTACTATAAAAATTATTACAATTCAGATTTCCTGGTATATCTTACAATTGTAATTGTAATGCTTTAGCAGAATTCTTCTTATTTTTTATATAAGCCTTAATTTTTTTCTTTGAATAGATTTTTAATCTTCTAAACGTTTCATAAGCTACTGCTCCAAAGTTAACTATTATGATGCTTTTAACTTACGCTGGGTGATTTTGTTTTTTTTATTTTATCTTATTGGGTGTTTGTGCAATTCTGCATACTGCACACAGCTCATCTCAGGCCTCTTGTCTCTGGCTCACACTGACATCCTCCTTAGGCACTCATTTCCTGTCTAATGTACTCCCTACACTCAGTTTTGACCCCATTCCACTAGCTCCTCACTTTTCCCATTCTATCTTCCACATTGCTGCTCATGATTTTGTTCTAAAACACAGCTCAGGCCACTTCTTTGATTAAAATCCTTTATAGTTCCTTCTTGGCTTCAGGATATAATCAAGATAATATCACAAGGCATACAAATCCCTTTATTCCTTGACCCTTGCCTCCTTCCTTGTTCTCATTTTCCCTTTGTTCCTATTCATCTTTCCGCCATCCCAAATTTATACGGATATATAGTAGAAATGCAACAGGAAAAGATAAAGCAAGAAATAGTGAATATAAATGTTAAGGGGCTGAAATGTTAAGCGTCCATGAAACTCTTCATTGAAAAAGTGATGTTTTACTACATAGGTGAAGGAAGTGAGGGAATGAGTTGTTCAGCCATCTGGGGGAATAGAAGCAGAGACAAACAGTGCAAAGGCCCTGAAGTGGGAGCATCACTGGCATGTTTGAGTAAAGCCAGGAGGCCAGATGACTCAAGAGGGTGAAGCGGGGAGACACAGTAGTAGGAAGGGAAGAAAGTGGGATGAGTTCATGCTGGCAAGTAGGTCAGAACAAGGGCTTCGGATTTTATATAAATGAGATGGGAAGAAATTAGTAGATTTTGAGCAGAGGAGTGGCATGGTTTGTTTTATATATAGGAAGGATAACTGTCTGCTGAATTATAGGCTGAATAAAGATTAAAGGGCTGCAAGGGTGGAAGCAGAGAGATTTAAGAGGCTTTTATAATAATCCAGGTAAAGTGGAATGTGTACTGGACCACAAGGGTAGTAGCAGAAATTGTTATAAATAGTAAACTCTGGAATTATTTTTCTTGTGGAGCCAGCAGGATTTGCTTATTACATATGAGGTGGAGGGAGAGGAGTTAAGGATGACTGCGAGGTTACTGACCTGAACAACTAGAAGTATTGCATTGTAATTAGTTGAGAGAAGGATGACTGCGAGGTTACTGACCTGAACAACTAGAAGTATTGCATTGTAATTAGTTGAGAGAAGGAAGACTGCAGATAAGGGAAGCTTTGGGGGGAATATTAGAACCCAACTGTGGAAATGTGAAGCTTCAGGTATTTATTAAACACCCTAGTGGAAAGATAGAGTAGGAAGTCAGATAAATGGGTCTGGACTTCAGGTCAAGTTTGGAGATATACATTTGACAGTAATCACCATAAAGATGGTATTCAAAGCTATGTGAGTAGATGAGTATGGGGGATGAATAAATGGAAATGAAAATGGTTCAATGACTGAGTTTAGAAGGACTCCCAAATTCTAAGTTTGGAGGAATGAAGAGGAGTTGGCAAAGGAGCAGGAGAAGGAACAGCCAGAGAGGTAGGTAGAATACTGAGAGAGTACGATGTCCTGGAAGTCAAGGGAAGAAAGCATTTCCAGGTAGAGAAATACTCACTGTGCCATATGCTAGGATGGGTCAAGGATAATGATGACTGAGAGCTGAATTTAGGAACATGGAGATTACTGGTGACTTGATAACAATACTTTTTGTGGATTGGTAGAGGGTCAAACCTAACTGGCATGGGTTCAGGAGGCAACAGAAGGTGAGGAATTGGGGATACCAACTATAAGAAACTCTATCCAGAAATTTTGCTATAAAGAAAAAGTGAGAAATGGGGAGGTAGCAGGATGGGGAAAGGAATTTGGAACAAGATTTTTGTTTGTTTTAAGATGGGAGAACTAACTGCATCTTTGTATCTTCATGGGAATGATTCAGTAGAGTAGTAAACAGTCATGCCATCAAAGATAGATGAATTAGTTCATTCTCACACTGTTATAAAGAAATACTTGAGACTGGGTAATTTATAAAGACAAGAGGTTTAATTGGCTCACAGTTCTGTAGACTGTACAGGAAACATGGTAACTTCTACTTCTGTGGAGGCCTCAGGAAACTTTCAATCATGGCAGAAGGCGAAGGAGGAAAGATGTTTCACATGGCCAGAGCAGGAGGAAGAGGGGTTGGGGAGAGGTGCCACACACTTTTAAGCAACCAGATCTCATGAGAACTCACTCACTATTGTGGCAACAATACCAAGAGAGAAATCTGCCCCTATGATCCAATCACCTCTCACCATGCCCCACCTCCAACATTGAGGATTACATTTCAACATGAGATTCGGTGGGGACACAGATCCAAATCATGTCAATAGAAAACAAAAATAAGAAAGAGAGAAACAGATCTAATGGACACACAGAAAGGTTGGGTTTAGATAAGTGATTCCTCCACAGAAACAGGAGATAATTTAGAAAATTATAGGCACAAAGAGAAGTAGAAGGAAATGGATAGTAATAAGAGCTCTTCTGATTGCTACAAGTTTCTTGGTGAAAAAAGGAAACAAAGCCATGAGCTGAAAATGAGCATTGGAGAAGAGACTGTGACTGCTTGAAAAGAAAGGGGAGTATGCCATCTAGAAGAGCAAGACAGTGAGTAAACTGGCAACATATAGTATGACCACCAGGCTGCATTCAGGCTGTGGTTTTGGTTTTGTTTGGGGTTCATGAGTTCAGCATATTTGCATACTTTCCTTCTGCTATATTTATGGGGATGGTGCAGGCACAGAATAGGGAGAAAGCTGATTTAAACTGGGTTGAGTTTTTGCCAAGGCAGTGCAACTCAGCTACAGTGGGACAGAGTTGAAGATGATAGCAAAGGAATGATTATAAAGATCAATGACAAAATATAAACCAAACAAGGAGGAAAATGAGGACGTAAAGGGAACGAGGGATAGTGAAAGGTGGTAGAATCAACAGACCGAAAGTTGCAGTCAGATAGAAAGTTTTTTGAAGGTGAATACTAGAAAACAAGATGAAAAATAGGAGGTTATATTAGTCAGGGCCCTCGCAAAAAACAGTTGGAATATTCAAACTTGGCAATTGAGGAAGTTTGGCAAACAGACTATTTACAAATGTAGGTCAGAGTTTAGGCAGCCCACATGGCACAGTAGTGCAGCACCCTGAGAACACCAATGAGTTATCACCCCTAAGCCTGAAGGGGGCAAGAGAAGGGTGCAAGCTGAAGAAGGTAGCTGTAAGGAGCAAGTCCTCTGCCAGGATCCCAAGATGGCCCACATTATTGGGCAGGTGGGAATTCTGGGAATACAAGACTGATTTTACTCTCCTCCTGCCCTCCATTTTTCTAAAATGATTCCCATTAGCCCAATCCATCATGGAACCAGAAGGCAAGACAGCTTTTTGATGTAATCTATATAAGACATAGAGCAGGAGTGAGGCGTAAATTTGGGGCCAGGCTGTGGGGAGAACAGGGGTAAGGGTGAGATGCTCTCTAGTGCAGGGGTGATATTCAGGATAGTTTTTGTTATGGGCTGAATTCTGTCTCCTCAGCATTCATATGTTGAAGTCCTAACCCCAAATACCTCAGAATGTGACCATATTTTTAGACAGGGTCTTTACAAAGGTAAATACACTGAAATGAGGTCAATAGGATGGTCCTAACACAATATGACTGTTGTCCTCACAAGAAGAGGAGATTTGGACACAGGCATGAGGATAAGGAGGAAAATATGAAGACATAGAAGGAAGATGGCAAACAATAAGCCAAGGAGGGAGGCCTGGAGCACATCTTCCCTCATGACCCTCAGACAGAGCCAACCCTGCTGACATCTTCACCTCAGACTTCTAGCTTTCAAAACTGTGAGAAAATAAAGTTCTGCTGTTTCAGCCACTTGATCTGTGGGACTTTGGTACAGTAGCTCGAGCAAACTAATATAGCTTGAAGGTGAGATTGTTGATTATCAGTTATTAGTAATGGTAATTGTTATTGGAAAGAGTAGCACAAGACAAAGAGAGTTAGGAGCAAGAGGAGAGGTTAAGATGGTAACTGTTTAAGATTGAAATTGTAAGTAATAATTAAGAACTTTAAGCTGCCAAAAGAAGAAATCTTGGATAAAGTGCTTTTAGGTGTCTAAGAAGCTACTGGGTGAGGTTACTCTGAGCTTGGGAGAAGAGAGGCTTACACTTGGCAGGAAACGTTTTGTAAAGGGTGAGAGGGGAAGGCAAAGGCCATTCGGTGGGTTGAACAATGCTGTGAAAATGGGCAAGCCTCACCTCCAAACTCCTCTGAAATAACTTCTCACTAAAACTCATGATTTTCTGACACAGCTCCTGCTGCCTTTCTGGTCTTTATTTTCTCTGTTTCTCTGCCAGTTCCCCTGCCTGCTTCTTTGAGGTTCATATGATACCAGGATCCTCTTTCAGCCAGATTCCTTTCTCTCAGTACAGGTATTCCTACCTGGCTTCACCTATCCATAATATTCTGATAATACCAGAATGTATATTTTTACCTCTTTTTTAAAAGAGATTGGTGTCAATCTGCATGTTTTAGGTACTTCAAATGAAACAAGTTCAAATGTGAACTTACTATTTTTTCCTCAAACTCATTTCTCCTCCTTTATTATCCATGTCAATGGCTTTACTATTTATCCAGTCACTCAAGCTAGAAACCATGCTACCATCTTGAATTCTCCCATTTCTTTACTGACACTCTTATTTCAGTTCCCCTTCCCCCCAAATTGCCTTCATCTAATTTATTGATTTGCTTTAGAGACATCATTTATATCTCTTTGCTTTACTGTCTCTCAGCATTCTTCCTGACATTCTTTCCTCAAAGCTCTAATCAGCTTTCAAATGCACATGCATAGGCCAAGGCAAATTTTAAAAACCCGATGGTGCTATTCAAATATGCTACCATAATTACTTTCTTCTTCCATCATGAATTGGCCACCCAAGAATAGAACTATAGTTTCTTAAACACTAAATAATTCAAAGCAATATGTTAAATATTTTAAATATAGAGATAGTAAAGATGATGCATTCCTTTCTCCTGCAAGTCCTTTGCTTGGTAAACATAAGGACTAAAGAGTATATAATTTTGAGGTTCTAGATACAGCATTTAATTCCTTGTTTGTATGAATTTACTTCTTTAGGAATTTATCTTTCCATGAAATCATCAATTCCAGGTTTAGAGTTATGAGAAGTAAACTGAGACAGGTATTATGACTGGAAACTAGGTGGTTTACAGTTCAACTATTTGGAAATGCTATCTTTCCTCATACTAATTTTTTAAATCTAATGCTTTATGAAGATTAAATAAGACGGCATTCAGATTAATATACACCCAAGGAGAACAATGTAAATGTTTCTCTAATGTTGGCACTGTGAACACTTACTTCTTTCAAAACATTCAGGTTTGGCATCACTGGGAATTACTGAAGAGACTAAAAAGTTTCAGAATCTGGATTCAGATTTCACATCTATTTACCTTGAAATGAGATCAAACGTTGCACAAAACGTTCTTCCTAAAAATAGACCTTTTAACATTCTGAATTAAAAGCATAAAACCTGAAGCTAGAAACCGGTTCTGTAATACTGATCCCAGGAAAAGACTTTGCTTATTCTGCTAAAAGTCTAGAACCCAGTTTAAAGTGGAAAAAATTAAACTTCATTACAAGAACCAGTGTTTTCACTGGAATCTATTCCTATCTTTACTGGTACATTTGTAAAAGTGTGTTGCATAACTGTTGAGAGACCTGACCGGGTAAGGCTCTGTATAACACCAAAATATAAAATAAAATAAATATAGTTACCTGTTAGTCCACGACAGTATCAGTCCTTCTTAGTCTAACATGTATTGTCATTGTAGTTTGAGATATCAAAAAGCAATAATATTCAACTTTTTATCTGTCTTTATAAAGATTACAATATTTTAGTAATTTAGGAATGGCTATTAATGTTCCAATTTTTTTTCAACATTTAGTCCTATATGCCTTTGAACTTTCCATAAATTGCTTCAAACTATTTAAAAACTAAAGCTATTTTTAAATTAAATATAAAAATTGGAAAAATTGGGAAAAGAAACTAGAGTCATCCAATATAAGTGATCTTTTGAGAAATTTTGGCACAAAGGGGAAGATGGGGTCAAATAAGATTTTCTTTTTTTTTTAAGATGGGAGAAATAACTGCATACCTGTAGGCTGTTGGAAATAATCTAGTAGAGAGAGGAAAATTGGAGAAATAGGAGACAGAGGGAAGAATTGCTGGCAAATGGGATCTAGTGCACATGTGGAGGAATTAGCTTTAGATAAAAACACAGATGGCTCACTAAAGACAGAGTCCACAGGTGCGAATGCTGTAAAGATATGAAGAGGGGAATTGAGAAATACTTTTCTGATAGCTTCAATTTTTTTTTTTTTTTTTTTTTTTTTTTTGAGACAGAGTCTTGCTCTGTCCCCCCAGGCTGAAGTGCCGTGGTGAGATCTCGGCTCACTGTAACCTCTGCCTCCTGGGTTCAAGCAGTTCTCCTGTCTCAGCCTCCCGAGTAGCTGGGATTACAGGCACAGGCCACCATGCCCAGCTAATTTTTGTATTTTTAGTAGAGGGTTTTCATCATCATGGCCACGCTGGTGTCGAACTCCTGACCTCATGATCCGCCCACCTTGGCCTCTCAAAGTGCTGGCATTACAGGCTTGAGCCACCGAGCCAGACCCTGATAGCTTCAATTTTTTCAGTGACAGGAGAAGAAGTTTCTCCACTGAGACCAACGATGGAGGAAAGCACTGAAAGTTTGCAGAGACGAGACAAGGGAAGGCGTCCATTGAGGACAGCGGGAAAAGGAGTAGACTGGGGGAAGCACAGTGGGACCACCAGGCCACTTTATGGGATGTTTGAGGTTCACACGCATCAAGCATTTCACCAACCCCATTTAGCTGCTCTGGTGCAGCAGGGAATAGGTGGAAACTTGGATTAATTAGCACTGTGACTTGCCAAGTGAGATAAAAGCAAGAGAGTTAAGGATGACTGCATGGGAGTGACTGTAATGACAGTGGAATTTAAACTAGATAAGGAGCAAAAAGGAAACGAAGAAGACGAAAGTGAGTGCAAAGCAAGTAGAATCACAGGAATGGTCTTTTCAGTAGGTTTTGAGGATTTCTGAAGTCCGAGACATAAAGGGAATGTGCAGGAAGGAAAGGAGATGGTCATAAACGAAGTAAAGGAAATTGAAATAAGAGGGCTGTGTTTTTTAGTAATGGCAAATTAGGGTAGTTGAGACAGGTGGAAGACAAAATCTTTTTTTTTTTCCTTTTTTTGGAGACGGAGTCTCATTTTGTCATCCAAGCTGGAGTGCAGAGGCGTGATCTAGGCTCACTGCAACCTCTCGGATTCAAGGGATTTTCCTGTCTCAGCCTCTCAGAAGAGAACATCTTCATAGGAGAGGAGCTCTAGGAACTGAGAATGCAGGAAATTGGAAGAAATATACATTAATAGCCAAGAATTTAGACAGGACTGGGGAGCCAGGAACAAACATTTGAGATGTTGGGCTTTTAATGGAGTTGCCACGGATGACAGCATCATGAGAAATGAGGTTTAAAAATGGAGGATTGTTCGAGGAGGGAGGAGGGCTGATCTGAAAGCCACAAGGAGGACAAATGGAACACCTACCCCCACTACAGGCTGGAAGGTAAGAAGGCTGCAAGAGAGAAACAGATAAAAAAAACTCATGCCTTGAGAGTGCTTCGGGAGAAGCCATTTCCTCAGGGAAGAACATTAAGAGTAAAAATATAATATAATTACTATTGTTAATGAAACTGTTGACTCTTGGAAGATAGGACAGGTTTGTAATTTTTTTTCTCCTGCAGCATCTGGCATAATGTGTTGCACTTAGTAGGAAATGTTTTTTAACTGGATTTCATTTTATTGCACTATCACTTTACTTCTACTGTTTAAACAAAAGCTGGTTACATTGGACTCAAACTCACAAGGCAAAGCTATAATATAATGGGTATTTTATTTCACTCTGTTAGAAATATTTAGTAACCACTGAAGTTGTAAAAGGAAGATGAAAACATGACTGTAAGGAATTTATGTTTAATAATGTTGCTGGAAGGATAAAATGACAATGTGAGACTAAACACTTTGCAAAGAAGGCTATCTAAAAAATTTTGTAGGTGGTAGGTGAATGAGGTGGACATAAAGACTGATAGAGAACAAATTATACTATGATACATACAATAAGTTAAAACTTGAACTACGGTTATAGAAATCCTAAGGATAGCATTCACAAGGCATAAGATCAAGCAGTAATCCTGATGAATTTGCAAAGAGAAAAATAGAGCTAAGAGTAAACTTCCTCATTTTTGCCCATGATCTTCCTTCTTAAATACTCTTACTAAGTGAATTGCATAAATCTATATATTTTTGTGAGATATCAATGAGAAATATTTAAGTATATATAATTACATTTTTTCTTTTTTCTGTACCCTAGGAAAATTGGATTGAAAATTGATAAATCCATTTCCATTCATTAGATGGAGTCTTAGTACTTTTAGTCTGCTACGTTAAAAAAATACCATAAACTGGATGGCTTATAAACAATAGAAATTTTGTCACGGTTCTGGAGGCTGGGAATTCCAAGATTGAGATTTTAGCAAATTTGGTGTCTGGTGAGCACCTGCTTTCTGATTCACAGACTGCACCATCTCCTTGTGTCCACATGGTGGAAGGGGCAAACAAGCTCCCTTGGGCCTATTAAAATAGGAGCACCAGTCCCAAAAGGCCCCGCTTCCTAATTCCATCGCCTGAGGGTTTAAGATGTCAACATGAAAATTTTAGGGAGACACAAGCATTGAGCCCAAAGCAAATGGTATCTTCAGTGGTAGCTCTTACTGAATGGTAGAGTGAAAGAGGGGCAAAAACAGAAACAGAATAAAAAGGCATTCATATATAGACTTAGGAAAGGATGACAAAATAGAGAATATTTTAGTTCTTTCCTGCCTCTTTGATTTTTTTAAGGTTTGTTAACAGGATTGATCAATCATTCCAGACATAAAACATCACTGTTGTAAATATTTTTGGAGTATCTTTTTATTCTTTTTTTTATATATACACATTTCCAACAAAATTGGAATCATAATACTCATACTGGTTTTGTATATATCTTAAAATTTAATAACTATTTTTCTCTTTTCTAAACATTTACATCATATGATTTTAGTGGCTAAATATAGTTATGAGTTTTAACTGCTTTCTATTATTGAGTGTTAAATTTGTTTCCAGTAATGGATATTTATGGCTTTTCCCTAAAATAATTTTCTGGAAGTATATGCCTTTAAATAGATATTTTTAAATTATATGCCAGAAAATTTTAAAAGATTAAAATGTGAAATTCTTTTTAGCTCAAGGGGAGATTTTTTTTTCGAGTGTACCTAATGGTAAAGAATTGAGGCCGGGCGCGGTGGCTCACGCCTGTAATCCCAGCACTTTGGGAGGCCGAGGCGGGCGGATCACGAGGTCAGGAGATCGGGACCACGGTGAAACCCCGTCTCTACTAAAAATACAAAAAATTAGCCGGGCGCAGTGGCGGGCGCCTGTAGTCCCAGCTACTCGGGAGGCTGAGGCAGGAGAATGGCGTGAACCCGGAAGGCGGAGCTTGCAGTGAGCGGAGATCGCGCCACAGCACTCCCGCCTGGGCGACAGAACGAGACTCCGTCTCAAAAAAAAAAAAAAAAAAAAAAAAAAAAAAAGAATTGAGTGAATCTACCCGTCAGTTCATTGCACATTATCATCATTAGTATTAAGAAGAAGCCAATCTATTCTTTTGGTAGTCTTCATCCAAGATTTCAATTTCATTTTTCTCCTCCATAGAAAACAATTCTTCTGGTTTGATATATGATTTGAATACATATGCAGTGTTTAAAAATAATCTCTATTTTATATCTTGATGGTAATTTATTAATTTCACTTAATCTGCTATTTATTTCATATAAATTATGTCTAAGAAATATTTCACATTCATTTGCTATTCAAGCAATTGTGCTTATATATATGCATGTTTATGTATGTCCACCTGGTTTATTGGTTCTAACTGCATTCTGGAGTTCATAATGTATACCCACCACTTTTTAATCTTAATTTATTTAGTAATAAGCACTTTGTTGCCCTCCAAAACACCAGCACCAAAAACAGTGCTCATGTATTCTCAGACATGCTCCACCTTCGTACTACAATAGTCAATACCCACAACGGTCATGAATCTCATTGAGAATTTCTATGGGTTATAAAACCTATAAATTGGTAGAGTAGGTCATTGGGTACCTGCATTCTTAATTTGACTAAATATTACCAGATTGCTTTTCAGAAAATCTTCACCAGTTTATAAGACGACAAGCAATGTCTAAGAATTTGTTTCCTAGTGGATGATATTTTGATATCCTGTTGTTTTATGGTTTTGTTTTGGCAGTAAAGAATAACATTTATATTAAATGTGTTTCCTATATAAAATGAAGAGAAGATTTGTTGTTCCCCAAGGAACTCTAGCTCTGTAAGATTAATTTTAATGCTTAGATTGACTTAAGCCTTGCTTCACTGGGGGTGATGAAGATATCCATGTAATTACTAAAGATGTAGGCTGAATCTATTCATATTTTAAGAACATAATTTAAAAAATTGTTCAGCACACTTCATTATCAGTTGCCTTTGGTAATTTTTTTTTTTTTTTGAGACACAGAAACACACAGAGAAATGATGAGACCTGCAGTTAAGAGAAGCGGTAAATAGAATCCAGCATTAAGAAAACTCAGAGGTTGTAATTGACAGAAAAGGACTTTAATGTAGCTATCATAAATATATTGAAGCACAAAACAAATAACATGCTATGATTATAATGAATGAATAGATATGAAATGTCATCTGAGAAATAGAAACTATGAAGAATCATCAAATAATATTCTAGAACTGAAAATTGCAACACACAAATAAAACACTCATTTGATGAGATTAACTGCAGATTAAAGAGAGCATAAGAGAGGGCTAGGGAATGTGAAGATAAATTAGTAGAAATTATCTAATATGAAGGACAGAAAGAAAAAAACTAAAAATATGAACAGAGAGTCTGCAAACTGTGGTTATTTTCAAATAAATGAAAGCATTAAAGGAATGCTATAACGAGTTATGATCATGCCACCACACTCCAGCCTGGGTGACAAAGTAAGGCCATCTCAATAAAAAAGAGTGCTACAGGTAGGTTTTCAGGCTGAATTAAAAAATGACTCCAGATGGGTACTCAAATCCACAGGAAGAAATGAAAAGTATTACTAATCGTAAAAACATGAATATTGTTTCTTTTTTCTTTTCTTTTTTTTCTTTCCTTCCTTTTCCTTTCCTTCTTTTCTTTCTTTTTTTTTTTTTTTTTTTTGGAGGTAGGGTCTCACTCTGGTGCCCAAGCTGGAGTGCTGTAGCACCATCAGGTCTCACTGCAGCTTTGACCTCCTAGGCTCAAGCAATCCTCCCACTTTGGCCTCCCAAAGTGTTGGGATTACAGGCATGAGCCCCCACACCTGGCTCAAATATGCATGTTTAGCAAATATCTTTTATACTTCTTTTACTTTTAAAAAAGTCAATTTAGTATAAAAATAAAAACATAATATTGTGTAATGGGTTTGTAACATATACATGTACATATGTACATGTACATATTTGTAACATATACAAATAAAAAAGATGACAATAATAGCGTGCAGAATTGTAAATGCAGAGACACTGGTTCAATGTTCTTACTTTTTTTTTTTTTTCTTTTTTTTTTGGTGGAGTTTCCCTCTGTCGCCAGGGCTGGAGTGCAGTGACATGATCTCAGCTCACTGCAAGCTCCGCCTCCCAGGTTCACGCCATTCTCCTGCCTTAGCCTCCCGAGTAGCTGGGACTACAGGTGCCTGCCACCACGCCCGGCTAATTTTTTTGTATTTTTATTAGGGATGGGGTTTCACCATGTTAGCCAGGATGGTCTTGATCTCCTGACCTCGTGATCCACCCGCCTCAGCCTCCCAAAATGCTGGGATTACAGGTGTGAGCCACCGCACCTGGCCTCAATGTTCTTCCATTTTTTATGAAGTAGTATAACAATACAACTATGAGTTCTTACTAAAAAGCCATTAGAAGAATTAAAATAGAATACAAAAATATTTGGTTAGCTAAAAGTGGCAGAAGAGGAAGAACACAGGACTAAAAAACAAATAGGACAAATAGAACACAATAGCAAAACAGTAAACCTAAATCAAACCAATGATTATGTTAAACGCAAATAGAATATACATTACAATTAAAAGGCCAGATTGTCAGACTGTATATAAAGCAAAACCAAATGGTGAGCTTTGTTTAGAAGGA
This sequence comes from Homo sapiens, assembly GCF_000001405.40. Lineage (NCBI taxonomy): Eukaryota > Metazoa > Chordata > Mammalia > Primates > Hominidae > Homo > Homo sapiens. Next base: position 155,501,172 of record NC_000004.12, read on the forward strand.
AACAAGTAGCTTAAAAGAAAGGAACGGAAAAATATATGCCATGGAATACTAAGTATCAGAAAGCTAAAATAGCTCTATTATTATCAGAAAAATCAAGAAAGAAATTTCACAGTGATAATGGGGTAATTTTTGAGGGAGACATATCCATTATAGATGAGTATGCACCTAACAACAGAGCTTCAAAATACGAAAGCAAAATGGTTAAGATATAGGGAGGAATTAAAAAATCCAAACATGTATTTGAATATCTTACAGTCCTTTTTAGTAATGATAGAAAATTAGACCAAGAATTCAGTAGCAAATCAGTGCAGGAATAAGATATCTACACAATTCTACTAACTATCTTGGCTTAACGGAAAATAATAAATTGTAATCTATTGAATAAAATAAAAATCTGAATTTATATTATATGCAAATTAAAAAGATTAACAAGAGATAGGATATTTACACAGTCTTAAAATAGCTCCCTACAAATTGCTTATTAATTATATAGGGGTAGATAGTTAATTTATGGTTGACGATTCTGGTGGGTGACATCACCTTAATGAAGAGATCAATGTTCACTTCACTGTATCAGGACAAACTGATACCAAGTGCTTGCTGACATGATGCAGTGAAAGGAATACAATGTCATTTTCTGAATCAAATCATAAGGAATCATCAGAAAAAAAAACACAATGAGAAATATTCTTTAAAGTAGCTGATCTACACTTTTGAAAACTGTCAACACAAAGACAGCAAAGAAAATCTGTGAAACTATCTTAGAGTAAAGGAGTCTGAAGAGACATGAGCATGACATGCAGTGTGATCCTGGATTGGATCCTAAACTGTGGAAAATAGCTCTGTAAGGCATTATAAGACAATTGATAAATTTGAAATATGATCTGCGGTTTTATACTATTGTTTCTGTGTTTCATTTCCCAATTTGGTTAATTTGTATCTGATCATATAAAGAGAATGTCCATGTCTTAGGAAATATTGTTAATAATTTCATCTTCTCTCTTTGAACTCCAAACCCCTAAAATAACTGATATTTATACTTTGGTATTTATCATTCCACATATGTTACTGGGTCAATGCAAAAACACATTGGCATACATATACATATATTTTTTTTTAATAAAAGTGGCACTATACAATACACATCTGTTGGAAATTATCTTTTTCTTTTTTACCTTTAAAAGATATATTGGGCATCACTTCAGATAAAAAAATATAAATCTTTATTTTTAATCATAGTATAATATTACATAGGCTGAATAAACCTTAATTTATTCAAGCGGTGCATTCTTAATGGAATTCAGTTTGTTTTCTAGATTTTTGCTATTATAAACAATACTGTAATAAACTTCTTGTGTTCAAGTGATTTTGATTCTTTAGGGGACATTTCCCAAAGTCTATTTGGTTGATATACATATTTTAAAATTGTCTGTGTACTCATTTTTAATTTTATAATTAAACTTTGGCAAAAATATGTGTTACAAATAGTGAATTTTCTGCAATTATTAATTTAATAAAACAATGACAATCAAGAATTAACTTTGTATACTGAACATATTCTAAATATCCCTAGCATCAAAACCCTATAATTAGCTAAATAATATCTAATTTTCCGAAGAGAAAAACAGAACAAGAATACAGTTGAATGAGAAATGTTTTGGAAAAAATATTTCTTTATTCACAAATAAATGAATTTTTTTTTTACTAACAATTTAACTTTCCACCCCAATCACATAGATCAATATTGAATACTAATTTTCTCTAGGTAGATTGTTAAATCTCATTATTTTGAGATTTTCTACATTGCAAACAAGAATATTTGACTGGAATGTCAACTGAAATCATTTGAAAAACTATCATTTTTGTATTTCATTATCAGTTTTCACACTTCTCTCCTCCATTATGAAACGTTATGGATTAAGTTCTGTCTTCCCTCAAAACTCGTATGTTGACGTCCTAACCCCCAAAACTTCAGAATGAGACATTATTTGGAAATGAGGTTTTTGCACATGTAAATTATGGTGAGAATGAGGTCATACTGAAGTAGAATGGGCTCCTGACTGTTGTCCTTTTTAAGAAAGGAAATTTGGCTAGAAATTCACACAGGCTCAACATCATCTAAAGATGAAGGCAAAGAGAGGAGTGATGCTTTTACAAGCCAAGAAATGCCAGAGATTGCCAGCAAATCACCAACCAGAGGCTAAGGCATGGAACAAATTTTCCTACAGAAGGAACCAAACCTTCTGACACCTTGATCTCAGGCTTCTAGCCACCACAACTGTGAGACCATAAATTCCTGTTGTTGAAGCCACCCAGTTTGTGGTACTTTGTTATGGCAGCACTAGCCGACTAAAGCAGGAAGCAAAGAAGAAAAGATGATCTAAGTTGTTGCTCAACATTTGATTCCTAGTGCATATTAGTATTCGCATACTTAAACTAGAAAATATCAAGTACCATTTTAAACTTTTTCTAATATAATTTAGATGCATCTGCTTTATATTTGCACTTTAGTATCATCAATTTGGATTGTAGAATCCTAAATAGTTTCACAGAAACTACAGAACTGAGTCTTAAAATAAACGTTTTGGCTATTAAATCACAGATGGTCACCAGAAAGCTTACTGCAATTTTCTACCCTACCGCAAAAAATGAAATTGGTTGTTTTTTCCATGCTGTTATAATTGTGGAAGGGAAATGAGGTAACACGATTTATAAAAATGGTTTTTTATAGGTATTATTTTTTAAGTTGCCTTTAGTATTATTTTTTCTTTCCTTCAGAACATTTACTCTTTTTGTTGTTGTTGCTTGTATTGTTTTTAGATTTTAGTAGCATACTGTAAAGGTTTTGGAATGGCTTGTAGCATTTTAGTATATAATGGGGCACAAAACAGGTTGTCCTCCGTCTATTTAATTCAGGATCTTTTTTTGTTTTGTTTTGTTTTGTTTTTTTGAGTTGGAGTCTCGCTCTGTTGCCCAGGCTGGAGTGCAGTAGCTCGATCTCGGCTCACTGCAAGCTCCGTCTCCCGGGTTCACGCCATTCTCCTGCCTCAGCCTCCTGATTAGCTGGGACTACAGGCGCACACCACCATGCCCGGCTAATTTTCTGTATTTTTGTGGAGACGGGGTTTCACCGTGTTAGCCAGGATGGTCTCAATCTCCTGATCTCGTGATCCGCCCGCCTCGGCCTCCCAAAGTGCTGGGATTACAGGCGTGAGCCACCGTGCCCGGCCCACTCAGGATCATTTTTATCTATAAGGCTCACATGCGAAAAGGATATGTTTTAGGCAAATGCTTTATAATAAACAACTCTGAGAATTTTCTAGGACCTGAGCTTTCATGAACACTGATGGTGATAATTTGTGATGACTTGGCAGACACAGAGAGAGGAACATGTTCATAATAAGAAGATAAATAATTGAAGAAATGATTTTCCTTTTTTTTTTTGACATTTCCATAAAATCAAATCTGAGCTTTATTGTGGTAAGAACTGACATTGTGGGAAAAAAAAAAAAAAAAAGAGAGCTTTCCTGTCCCCATCGATATCTCTTTAAGATAGCAAAGGAGAACAATAACACAAATGACATCTCCAAATAATTTCTAAACTTCTTGGCATACATTTAATTTTCTTCACTTTCACTAATAAAGTTAATTTTTAAGCTTTCTTCCCTAGTTTATTTTCCAGAAGAGACTTTTCATGAACAATGTGAAAACCAAATTATAGTAGAACTAATATGCAAAATGCAACCTGAATTGATTCATTTCAAACGCAAATGTGTAGTTAAATATTTTCTCTTATTGATTCTCATTTAATTATGAAATATTGTTTTAATTTAATATTTTGTAGCCTAAAGACTTTAGAGTATATCATATTACTGATTTAACTGTTAGTTAGAAACACTATACTGCACTGTGCTTGAATTTAAGCAGTAGTACCTCATTTTAAGAGTTTTTTTATAATTGCTTTGCTAGAATAATTTTTCAATGGAAATATATCAGAGGAATATAAAAATTATTCTATGGATTGACTCATAATTAGACCTTTCGTGTATTTTAAGGTCAATACATAAAGTAAAACAGGAACCATTTTTAGAACATAAAAAAGGCTCAATAATCTATAGTCAAAAATGGCCTTTATAAAAGCATAGAATACTGACTTTTTATGTTTTAACTGCACCAATAACAGCAGCAGCATTATCAGGTCATAGGTCATGTTTTTAAACTTGCTGGCCACGTTTTAAACTTTGCCAGTTCTCAAAGAATGTAGTAGAACTTATGTTGAAATTATGTTGCACACACTACTTTATATTGGGTGTTAGCAAATCTCTTCATATGGTATTGCTCCTCCCATGATGTGAGCAGTTTGCATGAAGATTCATCTTTGCATGCTCCATCAAACTCAGCACACAGCCATCCATATGTTAGGCCCTCAGGAAGTACTCATAGAATAGAACGTTTCTCAGATGGAAAGAACTGTGAACAAATTCTTAAGAGATCAGAGTTTTCAGTCTGTTTCTCCCCCCGTGAATTTCCTGTCCTTGTTTTGTTCACAGTATCTCTTTAGTTTGTAACCCAAAAAATCTGAGACAGGTCTCAATCAGTTTGGAAAGCTTATTTTGCCAAGGTTAAGGATGTGCCGGTGACACAGCCTCAGGAGGTCCTGATGACATGTACCCAAGGTGGTTGGGTTCAGCTTGCTTTTGTACATTTTAGAGAGACATGAGACATCAATCAATATATGTAAGATGTACATTGGTTCCGTCATAGGAAGATAAAAGGCAATTCTTTTTGACAAGTCTTTTGCGTTCTCTTGAGTCTCTGATTAGCTTTTCACTGAATACACAATTTACATATGAGAGGAGGGTAGAGGAATAGTCATTTATGCCTTAGTCTGGCTTAGTGAATCTGCATTTTTAAGTAAACAATAAGGTAGAGGAAGCAATCAGATATGTATTTGTCTCAGGTGAGCGGAGGGATGACTTTCTGCCCTGCACCTGTGAAGATGAGCTATCAGTTTACATTGCCAGGGTGAAATTCAACAGAACTGGAATTTCACCCTGAAATTTCCTCAAGGTCTTTACCCTATTCCTTGTGTGCAAATTCCTTGTGGGCGAATTGTCAGGCAGGCATGTAGCTTTCTTAGCTATCTTTTTTAGGAATAAAATAGGAGGCAGGTTTTCCTGACGCAGTTCCAGCTTGACTTTTCCTTTTGGCTTAGAGATTTGGGGGTCCCGAGATTTATTTCCCGTTCACAGGTTCCATAGCTGAAAAAACAGAAGACTGAACTAAATAGTTTTAAGCTACTTTCAAGTCTGAAATGTGATTTCTGAGTAGTCCTCTTTTGTACTGCTTCTGGAAGTCTTTTTGTACAGACTGTTTCTTGCAAGCTTTCCTATTGCTTCAAATATGCATATCTTCAAACAGAGGAATGGATTCTGTGTATTTTTAAAAATATTTTATAATTGTCTGTATTTAGGCTCTCCTGTGGAGAGCTGGTACTAAAAGTATAAGCTTTTATTCTCAGCCTAGTATTTGTGTAATCTATAAGTATATATAAATGTTGGTTTCCTTGAAAAACTAATTTGTCAGTTCCTACTTTTTTTTTTAATTAATGAAAGTTTTCTCTAACTTGTTGCCAGGAGAATTTGGTATTTCAGATGTCAACTTTTCTGAAAGTAGTTTTGTTCCTTTATCATGGACTTCAGCAGTTGTTTTCAATACTCAAACTGACAGGGCGAAGGATAACAGTCTCAGCTGTGCTCCCACAGCTGGTAATTGAATGTTTCTAGCTGGCCTTGTGATGAGCAGGGCAGCCGATCTCTGCAGCCAAACGATGCTGAGAGCTGGAAACACAACCATCAGCTTCTCTACATGCTGATGAAGACAATGACGATGCATTCTAGGCTGGTGAAGATAGAGACTGCTTTGCAGAAATAGTATGCCTTGAGTACTTTTCATTCCAGTTTTAGTTATAAAATGAGTGTGAAAATTATTGGAATGATTAGTTTGCTATTTTAAAATATGGTTACATTGAATCATACAAAGAATTCTATCTATCTATCTATCTATCTATCTATCTATCTATCTATCAACATCATCTATCTATCTATCATCTATCTAGAATCTTCATCAGGACCTCTGAATGTAACCGGTTTTCTAGAGATAAGTGGGTCTAATTCCCTTAGTTTTCTACACAGACTGCTTAAACAGAAGTCAGGAAAATTGTCCTTGATTACCTCTGAGAGAAATGGTGCATGAAGGAAGGACAGGTAGAATGAGAAGGAGAGAAAGGGAAGATAGCCAAGAAAGAAGGGAGAGATTTAAAACTATTTAAGAATATGTGGTAAGAATGATGGAAGGATGTATTAACTGGTTGTTTCATTAATGTTCAGTCACAAATTTTATTCCTCATTCTTAAAGAACTGAATAAGATAAACTGCAAGAAACTATCATTTTCTGGAGATTTCCTATATCCTTATGTATAAATGTCTTACAACATTCTTAGGTAAGTTTTTTTCATCTGCATGATGTTTGCAATTGTGCCTCTTAACAAATGCACCTATAGCTCAGTAACAGCAATTCTGACACAGCTCAAAATAAAGATTTGTTATTATTTCAGCAAGCAAAGTAGATATTCACCATAAGGTTTTTGGTAATTTAGGACTGAATGATTTACTTTAGAACTATGTTTAACTCCCCTTCCACCCCAACAAAAGAACATTTTAATGGCATTATATTGCTTTCAATAAACCTTTTGGAGGTAAGGAAAAGATATCCTTAATCTCTGTCCTCAGAAAGTGAGCTCACTGACCTAGACTCCTGGGTATTAAAGAAGGCTAAATGTACATATCGTACAAATCTGGTCAGAGAGAAAAATCCAGTGTGGTTTGGGATTACTCAATTACAAAGGATTGGGTGTCATTGTAGGTACTGAAAGAGGGATCATGATCATTCCATTAACCCTAACCATTACCTTTGGAAAAAAGTATCAAGGCAAAGAAAAGAATAAGCAGAAGCTTCAGTTTGTTGTTTCAGAATTGTTGACTTTAAAAGAACACAAATACATTAAATAAACAAACAAACATGGAACCAAAGAAAACTTTCAATACACCCTTAAGACATCTGTCACAGGGTATTCGTATTATGATTAGGTACTTATTCCCATAGTGATTTTCATTTTTAGGTTAAAATTTAAATGAGTATCATCCCCTCCCCTTAGTTTATTCTTTTTTTTTAATCTTTTTCTTTTTTTGAGACAGTCTCACTCTGTCGCCCAGGCTGGAGTGCAGTGATGTGATCTCGGCTTACCGCAAGCTCTGCCTCCATGGTTCACACCACTCTCCTGCCTCAGCCTCCCAAGTAGCTGGGACTACAGGTGCCCACCACCACGCCTGGCTAATTTTTTGTATTTTTTAGTAGAGACGGGGTTTCTTCGTGTTAGCCAGTATGGTCTAGATCTCCTGACCTCGTGATCCGCCCACCTCAGCCTTCCAAAGGCTGGGATTACAGGCATGAGCCACCGCACTTGGCCAGTTTGTTCTTATAAAGATACCAAACTCAGTCGTCTACACAGTGTAGGAAACATAGTGGTCATTGAGAAGTCAGCTCCCTGCAGGTGTAAGCACCCTTTCTTACCGTGGCTCCTCTTTCAGCACAAGGCACCTAACACAATACTTTGCAAGCAATATAGACTCTTGTATGACTAATGTTAGAAATTATTTTATATTTTAAGTTAAAACGAAACTGCTTATCATTCTGACCCTCAGGTTCTTGCTTTACTTGCTGAACCCTCAGAAGATAGTTCTAATCCCTATTCTTCCAGATGACTGTGCTTCAACCATTTGAAGGCAGTGGTCCTTTATCTTCATGTAAAATCCACTCATACAGATAAGGCATCCCTATTTCCTTTCATCACTCCCTATAAGGGAATTTTCCAAATTGTCACTGTCTCCATCCAGAGAACAGCTCATTGAACAAGTAGGACTCTCAGTAATAGAACTGCCATGTATTTTAAACCTATGAATTTATTAATAAAACCTACAATAGCATTTTCTTTTCAAAGATCTTCATTACAGTAATTTATTTTAAGCCCCAAATTAAATATCTCTAGTTATTTGTCGCAAGCCCCACTCTTAGACTGCTTTTTCCGTCTGTGACTTTTTTGTGGCCTAAATTTAGAGCTGTATGTTCCTCCATGCGTTTCTCTCTAATTTCATCTATTTTGTTTTAGTCTGTCATTTCAAGCTGTTTGTTTAGTGATGGCAAATCTGCAATTTACTTCCTACAACGTTTTAAAGTAAAAATTGCAAACCTTCCTGTGAATTAGCAGTAGGAGATCATTATCCTTGATTTCTTTGGCCCTTTATAGAGATTAGTGCACTGTTGGTAACAGCAAGTGTCAGGAAACATGAAAAAATATGATTTAATTATTGAAACTGTTTGGATAAAAATGAAAAGTTCCCTGTACAATGTCATAATTGAATCCATTGATGTCCATAATTGTAATAAGAATTTTTGAGTTTTGAAGTCTTTTTCAGTTTTATGAGATTTTAGAAGAATTATTATTTCTCATTATTTTTATGAGTCTTGCTGGTCTGATGCCAAAAATTGAATTGTGTACTGTAGAATCATGGATGGCTCTGCTGGATTCTGACTCATGCCCTAAATTAAGAAATGGCTCTGAATGTTGTCTCAAGGGTAAGTTTTGCTTCTGCATTTGAGCTACAAATTAAGAGACAGATTTTGAAAAAGATGCTGGGCCTTGAAGAACATTTTCAAGGACAGAAGGGTAAAAAGACAAGCTGTTGTTGGTAGATCAAAAATGAGATGTAAATGCTAGACTACAAAAAATTTGTCTTTCACAGAGAAAACAACTACAAACAAAGAAAGCCACTAAACAACCTTTCGGATTCAGCCAGACTCCAGAAAAACGTTGCACATTTTGGTTGTTTGTTTTTATTCCATATCTCACTTTCAGCATTAAATATATATATATATTTTATTGACCTGATTTTAGTCTTGCTAATTAAAGCATCTTACAAAATATCTTGATTTAGGTTCCTCAGCTTTTGTCTGATATTTCAAAAGCTATTGTGTGAGAGCAGAGGTTTTACACAGTGTTACTGGACTCAAGCATTTGTGTTTAAATCTTTTCTTCAAAGCCCGCCAATTGAGACTCTGAGCAGGTTAAGCTCATCCCTGAACTTCAGTTTTCTCTATGTAAGATGGGGTTTTCTGTAGGTATAAATGAAAATAATACATACGAAGCACACAACAAAGTGTCTCTTACATAGCAAGTATTAGCAAATTGCATCCTTCCTTTTTAGATTTAAGCATTCCCCAACACTGTTCTGATATTTTACCTCACTGCAGATGAATACAAGAGATTAGTTTTAAAAGACTTGTTGAAAACAGTTAGCAGTGTTACTGTAATACCAGTGAAGACTCAGTCTAGGACCCAGTTGTATTCCACCCAATTTTTATTAGTTGCTTGGTTTGCTGTTATTGTTGTTTGTTTGTTTGCTTTTGTTTCTTAGTGACATGAAGAAAATTAATTTGACCCCTTTAAAAGTTAGGAAAATTTTTTATCTGATCCAGAGGTTCATTAATATTGAAATGAATTAGATACTATTTTAAAATAATTGATAAAAGAAAAAGGTCTTCTCTCTGCAGGGAGGAAAACAATAGAATCAGTGAAAGGGAGCCGTAAAGTGCTGTGCCTAGTGAATATCGGTATGAGCCAACCACAGATAGGAATCTCTTTGGGTAATAGAAATGACTGACTTCCTGACATCATTTAGTAGAATGAGGAGGAAGAGCTGCCTTCTAGGGTTTTAGACCAGAAGTGCTATTGATTGCCTTCAGAATGACACTTCTAAGAAATGGGTAAGAGTAAGCTAAAAGTTACATCTTTCTGAGTCTTAATCCAATCAGACTGTAATTGGTGATAGAAGCTTTTCAATTGTGACTACATGAGTTCTAGGATTAATTTTCAAGAAACTGCTCTCCTTCTAATGGTTTTCATCATCATAAATGCTTTCTTCTTCCATAGATTTTCTCTGCATATCCTAGAAATAGGAACAGGCAGCAGTATGTGGGCTCTGACCTCAAACCACACAGGCTCGTTCACTCCAGCTTCCCAGAAGAAAGTACCTGTCTTTGACAAAGAAGTCAGTGAAGGTCACTTTAGAACCCCAAACTTTTCTGTTCTGTAACGACGTGACTCATGCAAGACACAGAAGGACTGCACTAGATTACCATGGATGTGCTCTTAATCATTGCTGAGGTTCTCCATGGAAGAGAAATGATGTCAGTCACCTGCTAGGGAGATTTGAGTCCTTTCTGGGTCCTTTCCCTTCTTCATCATGGTCCTCACCGTGATCTTGCTAAAGTCATCCTTTCTCAACAGAAACCTCTCAGGGGCCAATTTAATAAATTCATTCTCAATTACCAGTAAAACTCTGGGGTGGAAGATGCATTTATACATCATCAAGTTATTATTAAATTTAAATCATTGAGTGACATGAACAGGCTGAGAATATTTTTCAAGACTAATGGATCTCCCTGTCACCAGAGACACTCCTGAAAAGGCAGCTCTCCTGAAGTGTTAGGGTCCATCCTATAAATTTACATAAATAGAGGTTGTTTCCTTTGGTCTTTAAAAGACTCCTGTGCTACATCAATTATATAACCCGTTAGGGAATTAAATAGTACCCTGTTGGGGAATGAGTCTACTCTGCTCTCTAGCATTTTAGTGTACTGATTTATTTATCATTTTAACCCAAATAAATAGTACTCCTTAACTTTTCTGAGTCATGGGCTCTTTTTTTACTAGAATCTCATGGAAATTACAGTGTTTTTTTCTTCAGAAAAATGCACATACATAATTTTGCAATGAAGTTCACATTGTCAATGGACTCTCTCAAGTATATCCATGAGCTTCAAAAGAAACACAGCCTCAGCTATTTCAAAGGCATGAAAAACTTGTGTCTAGGACAAGTAGTTCTGACAATTTTTTTCTCATAGGAAATGAAGGGCTGATGTTCACCCAGAGAGTGGTGCTGGCTGTTCACTGTCAACACCATTTTAACTGTAGGGCATCCATTCTGATAGTTCTGTGCCTGTGCCTTTCTATTTTTAGGTGTGTTTAATTTTGTCTTTGCATACAGGAAACATGGATGAACATGGCCAGGGAGAGAGGAAAAGGATGAAAGAACAAGGTGCCTACCATGGAGGATGCAAAAGAAATTTTTCCCCGAGAACTGTAGTCCCAGGTTAGGCATGCTCCAGCAAAACTTTTTCTCAGAGTTATCCCACTTCTCCTATATGCCAGGAATCTCCTTAGGCCTGAAGCATGCAGAAAGGTGCATAATTAGTCTTTGTTCAATAGGTCATCTTCTGGAGGTGATGGGGCTTTACTTTAGGTCCATAGACCCTGTTTACTAAAACCAACTTGTCACACTTCACACATTTGGGTATCCTTTATTTCTAACTGGAATTGTACTTGACTAGCATTTTTGGAATAATTCTGTTGGCAGTAGTTCTTCTGAGTGAGTACTACAACAAAGTTGTATAAGTCTAACCATTTTAGAATCTACTCTAACCAGAGTGTCAACTCCAACAAGAAAACCCCTAAAAGGAAAGAAAGAGCTGCCAACTATTTGATGGTTTGACAAAGTGTGGCTGTTTTTCTGGGCTGTGATTTATTTAAATTTTGCAAGCCCTTATCATCTTGCAGGTTTTAGGCACTTTGGTGGTGATTCAGATAAGGTTAAATGAGTTGCTTCCAAAACACAAGACTGTCGGGTGGAAATACGGAAAGACTTAGTGCCAGGTTTTCTGATATTTGAACCAATGCGCTGCCTCAGAGTTATGGGATTCAGGAGGAATTATTTGACCTCTTTGACCGGGTTTCCTCATGGGAAACATTTTGTTGATGGTGATTTGCTTGCCTCATACAAGGAATCATGGAAAAAACAATGTTAAAAACTTTGAAAGTTCTGTTTCATTCTACACAATGACGCTAATTTCTCTTAAATTAACTTGAACTTTTTTTTTCTCCATCTGCACAAGTAATTAGCACAGGATAGCTAGATTGAATGTCCAGCTCTCACATTAGGTAGAGATGTTAAACATGCACGTGTATGCGCACACACGCACACTCACACTCACACACACTCACACTCACACTCACACACCACTGCCTGCCATGAAGCACAACCACACTCATTTTAAAATTACATTTATTTTATTTTTTACTGCATTTTTTGAGAATGTGAGGAGAAAGGTTAAGAGCTTGAACGTCCTTGTATCTCTCAGTAGTAAAACAAGACCCCTGGGAACATGTGTGCCTGTCACAGCTGCACCCCACACCCAATGCTCAGACTTAAAAAAAATGAGAATGGCTTCTTCCATCACCATTTTGACCTTCTTAAATAATATTAATGTTGATTTACAAGGTTTAAAATGGCAAAGAGGGACAATGAATATGCTAAAATCTTGCTTTATCTGTAGTTATAAATGGTGAGCATGAAAGCAACACAAATAATTAATCTGGTTTCCTTTGTTTTGTCTTGGTCATTGGAAAGTCAAAAGTGAATCTTGGCCCAAATCTCTCATCTAGAGGATAGACTTGGAATAGACAATTACTATTTTTTGTATTTTTTGCTATTGTTCTTTTTTCAGCTAAATGCCTATGCATTGCTAGGAAATGTCAGGCTTTTTGGTCTTTGGTAATATTTTATTTAAGGACTTTAATGGAAATTAAAGAATATTACTTAAAGTTTTTTCCCATCTTGGTACTTTACAGGGTCAAAGAATGAAGGAGAAAAGAAAGAAAATGCAAAACAAACAAACAAACAAAAAAACTATGCAAAGTCTTCACTTAACCTGAATAAACTGAGTGTCATGGCAAATGCCATGTTCTTTGCATTTTTTTTTTTTTGGAGACAGAGTCTTGTTCTGTAGCCCAGGCTGGAGTGGAGTGGGGCAACCACAGCTCACTGAAGCCTGGAACTCATGGACTTAAGTGATCCTCCAGTCTCAGCCTCTGGAGTAGCTGGGACTACAGGCACACACCACCGTGCCTGGCTAATTTTATTTTTTGTAGAGACAGTCTCACTATGTTGTGCAGACAGTGCATATGTTCTTTTCATATGTCCTTTCCTATTGAACACACAAACCAAATCAAATTTACCAGATTTCCATGGACATGTAAATTTGATTTCGCTTTAACTATGAGCCATTGATTTCAGGGTACTGTGTTTTTTAGCATTTAGGTTTTACATTATGATTTTATCTTCAGGAATTCATTGATTTACACACTATATCATAAAATACATAGAACCTATGGTCAAATATCAGAATCAATGTTCTCTGAACTGAGCAACAATGGAGAGAAATCCCAGAGCTTTACATAATGGCTCTATTGCAAATTTACAGTCTTGAAGCTCAGTTGAGCAGTTTAGACCGCTTATAAATTATGGAAAGTTGGGCAGAATATTTGAAATCTGGACTATCCTAGAATAGCTGGGAAGAAGTTTAAGGTTCAGTGTAGGGTGGGAGGAAGAGACAGCTGTCAAAAATTCTAGCTTGGGTAACTGAGACAGAAGATGCCAGAAGATGAGGTATTTTTAGAGGAAGGATGATGAGTCAATTTGGGACACACTGGATAGGAAGCACTTGTTGGACATCTAGATAGAGATGACCAGTTGAGAGTTAAATATAAAATGTGAAACTCAGAGAAGTAGTCTAGGCAGCCCTCAGAAAATGAACTTGACTTAAGCCATTTGAGGAAGAAAACGAACACAGTTTAACAGTTGCATTGAGCAGGGCTCCCCTGTAGGCACAAAATTAGAATGAAAATCATATATAATTATTCCCTTATCCTGGCCTACCATCAGAGCCACTTACTGCAGCGTGAGGTCTCTTTTAGTCTGGATTCTGAGTGGACAGTGGAACTTCAGAGGAGAGCAGAGTGTGCTCAATTCCTGTTTGGGCAGGAGAGGGCACAGAGTCAGCAGCGACTTGCAACCAAAGGGTAGTTTCCTCACTGTAAGGAAAATTCTGGACAATAATATTAAATGATTGCTCACAGAAAGATGGATTTAAGTGCTCTGAAAACAATAACAGCAATGCTTTGGCTTGAAAAAGAGGTAAACTCTTCCAAAATTAGAGAGAGATTTTATGTAGATCAAAAAAGGTAGTAAGAAAAGCTATCACACCGACTGCTAGTAATAACTGACATTGGACATTGCTAGGTCTGGGCACTATGCTCAGTGCTTTATGTATATTAACTCATTTAATTCTCACTAAACCCTGTGGAGTAGGTACTGTTATCATTTTACATATGAGGAAACTGACACCCAGAGATTTTAAATATTTTACCCAGGGTTAAACAACTAATAAGGAGCAGAGCAGAGGCTTGAGTTTAGGCAATCTGGGTTCAGAGATCATGATCTTATAATACACTTCCTGTGTTAACACAAAACAACCCACTTTGGTTTCAACATACCATATGCAAGGTTCATACTGGTACAATTTGCACCGTAAATAGAGCAAATGCTATGAAAAAGCTGATAGATAATAGGAAGCTTTAATATCTCTACTCATTTAATCCAGAGTTTTACTCCCCGTCACCATGGAGAAACTATGCAGTGCTATGAAAGAATGCTCATCAGTGTTTTGTGGTTTTTTTTCCAGCTATCTCCTCTGCAGAACTCTGTGCTAATGATAGAATTTGCATACTAATGATAATTGCAACCAAGAAAGCTGTATTCTCTTTCTACTCGAGGTAATTGAATAAAGAAGTGCTGTGGGGCAATTACTGCAGTTAGTTATAGAAAATTCTCTGAAAAATAAGACCAAAACATATATACTCAAATTCAGTATGATTGCATTTATCAACATTATTTGCTTCTTTTAAATCATAATAATAATAGACAGAATTATTGCTCTGGGTTCTTTGACTGTGTTAACCCAGTCATCTCAATGGCTCTATTATTTAGGCTTATATTTTTCCATTTTATGGATAAGAAAAAAAAGAAGTTTAACAATGTGCCCAATAACACAGGTATGAACTTTAAAAAGGCTATTAAGAGATCATTTATATCATAGTTCTATTCTCTTATTTTTATTCTATCTTTTGATTATTATAAAATTAATTATAAATAGTGCCAGACATATTTTGCTGTTATAATTTTACTACATAATGGAACACTTTTACTCTACTATTTCAGTGCCCTTTTACTTGATTACGGCAAAATTCTTTGCTAATGACACCTTAACATGCATGACTGTGTTGTTGGGTTATTTTTTCCATGGGAGTTTCACTAATTCCATTTATTTGCCAGTCGGTGTACTTCAACATTTTTAATTTATATTAGCATTAGAAACCCATTGAAAACACAAGTCAATACTCAATTCAAAATAAGGTGACTTTACTTTCTTTAGGTATAAGAAATCCTAAACTCTGAACCACAATAAAAAACTGCAGGATTAGAAACCTAGATTCAGGACAAGACAACCAAAATCATAAAGACTCCTTTACAACTTCATAGTTTGTGCAATCTTAGCAAATAATATTATTTTCATGATCAGAAAGTGTATTTAAACTTTAACGTTTTTATTTTATTTTGTCTAATTTTTATTGGCCTTACAGACAAGATTATTTTATTCTTTTCTAATTGCTTTAATGTCTTTCTTGTTCGATATTTTCTGTTTTTCTGTTCAGTTATCATGACTGCCTATTTAGAAACAGACTTTCGAAGGTGTGAGTCTTAAAGTCAGAGCATAGCCAGTCCTCATATTTATTGGTAATTGACTTTTTTTTTTTTTTTTGATAGGGTCTCACCTGTTGCCCAGGCTACAGTGCAATAGTGAGATCCCAGCTCACTTCAGTCCCAAACTCCTGGGCTCAAGGGATCTTTCTGCCTCAGCCTCCTGAGTAGGTGGGACTGTAGGCATGTTCCATCATGCCCCACTAATTTTCCTTTTTTATTTTTTTAGATAGAGAGTCTCACTATGCTGGCCAGACTCGTCTCAAACTTCTGGGCTCAAGCAATCCTCCCACCTGCCTCAATCTCCCAAAATGCTGGAATTACAGGCATAAGCCATCACACCCAGCCAGTAATTGACTCTGAAAGTAACACACAAAGATTGGAAAGTGATCTAAGTTCTGAATTCAAATATCAACACATGCATTTTGCTATTTCTTTGTTCTTTAATTGCAGCAAGAACAAATAACATGAGATCTATCTTCTTATCAAATTTGTAAGTATATAGTAGAGTAATGTTACCTACAGGCACAATGTTGTACAGCATTTGTTCTACATAATGTTCTACAGGTATCTGTAGAACTTATTCTTCTTACCTAACTGAAACTATGCCTGTTAAATGGCAAATCCCAATTTTCCTCTCACCCAGCCTCCAGCAACCACTATCCTACTTTCTGTTTCTGCTAGTTTTACTATATTGAACTCCATATATAAGTGGAATCACATAGTATTTGTCCTTCTGCAACTAGCTTATTTTACTTAGCATAATGTCCTCAAGGTTCATTCACGCTTTCTTATATAGCAGGATTTGTTTATTATGGTTGGATAATATTCCATTATATGTTTATAAGACATTGTCTTTACACATTCATCTCTCAATGAATATTTTGGTCATTTCCACATTATAGCTATTGTGAATAATCATACAAAGGAATTGAACAGGGAGCCCAGAAGGAAACTCATGCTTATATGGTCAACTGGTGTTTGGCAAGGGTCCAAGAATACTCACTGGGAAAAAGAGAGTCTCTTTAATTAATGATGTTGGGAAAACTGAATATCCATAGCAAAAAAATAAAATTGAACACTCCTCTCACACAATATATAAAAATCAACTCCAAGTAAAAAAAACTTCATGACATTGTCTCAGCAATTATTTCATGGGTATGACACCAAAAGCACAAACAACAAAAGGAAAAATAGACAAGTGTGATTACATAAAACTAAAAAGTTTTGCAAAGCAAAAGAAATAACAGAGTGAAAAGTCAAGCTATGAAATGGGAGAAAACAATTATAAACTATATATCTGATAAAAGATTAATTTCCAAAATATATAAGGAACAACTTAATAGTAAAAAGGCAAGTAAGTCAGTTAGAAAGTGGACAAAGGACTTGAATAGACATTTCCCCCAAAATGATGTAAAAATGACTAACAGGTATGTGAAAAAGATATTCCCACTAACAGTTAAAAGATATCATCACTCGGCTGGGTGCAGTGGCTCATGCCTGTAATCCTAGCACTTTGGGAGGCCGAGGCGGGTGGATCACCAGGTCAGGAGATCAAGACCATCCTGGCTAACACGGTGAAACCCCGTCTCTACTAAAAATACAAAAAAATCAGCCGAGCGTGGTGGCGGGCACCTGTAGTCCCAGCTACTCGGGAGGCCGAGGCAGGAGGACGGTGTGAACCTGGGAGGCAGAGCTTGCAGTGAGGTGAGGTCACGCCACTGCACTCTAGCCTGGGTGACAGAGCAAGACTCTGTCTCAAAAAAAAAAAAAAAAGATATCATCACTCAACATCATTAGTCATCAGGAAAACACAAATCAAAACCACAATGAGATATTGTTTCATACCTGTTAGAATGGCTATTATATAATTTTTGAAAAACTGGTGTTGACAAGGATGTGGAGAAATTGGAAGACTTGTACACTGTTGGTGGGAAAATCAAAATGGTGCAGCCACTATGAAAAATAATTTGGAAGTTCCTCAAAAAATTAAACATAGAACTATCATATAATCCAGCAAATCCCACTTCTGTATGTTTGTACAATTGAATTAAAATCAAGATCTTGAAGAGATATATGCACTCCCATGTTTATTGCAGCATTAATCACAATAGCCAAGACATGGATTTGAAAGATATTAATACGTCAGAGAAATTGTCCAAAAGGAGCTTTGCTCGGTAAAGAAACAAAGGGAGGAGGGGGGTGGGATTTGTGTTTCTCAAGTTACTTCAATTTTAACTATTACAGTGTTTTGAAATTTCTCCAGTGGAAATATATATTAAACACAAGTATAACAGCCAACAAGTTTGACGGAGAGTTAACCAACTTTAACTCAAAGCATCATTTTCAAATGCCTCCTCTACAGTGTTCCTTCTAGTGAAGTAGATGTTTGGTTATATGAAGAGGACCTTTAGTGATAAACTTTTACAATAAACATGAGTAATCTATGTAATCAAATAACTGTTGAAGAGTCAGTCTTCAAATTTCATAGTATTACAAAAGTAAATGTTGATGTCCTAAATTGTACTCAGGTTTTGTTCAATATGAGAGAAGTTATAATGTAATGGAGAGAATTATTGGTCCTGTCTAGATGATCTGAGGAAACAAGATGGAGACTGCCACACGAGTAGGATTCTAAGGAAATTAACTCAATCTTGGCAGAGAGTTCTAGTTGTCTCTTCAGCATTCATGACCCCTCACTGTCCTCCTTAAGAAGAGAAATCAATTTTTAACTGAGCTCCTTATCAGCTTGTGGTCATATGACTATGTTCTGGCCAACAAGATACAAATGGACATGTATGAGACTTCTGGAAAACTGTTTATAGAGAATCTACTTCTAGAAGGAACACATTTTTAATTCTCTTAGCTTTCTTCTTCTACTTGATCTGCAACTCAGATATGAGAGCTAAAGTTTCAGCAGCCATCCTTGTCTATGAGGAAATTCTGAGGGTAAGAACTACGTGGTAGGATGGAGGGGAAGAATAATTGGCACTAACCTACTAGCTCTGAACAACCTATTTCCAGACTTACTGTGTAATGTGACATTTTTACCTAGATGGCACTGTTTGTGCAATTATTTAAATATTTTATTACTTTCCACTCTCTTTACTTAGAAAGTTCTAAAACATGGACAAATGAAAATGTGATGCAAATGATAAAACAATACAACTGGCACAGAAGAAATTCTTAGCTTTAATTGTCTACCCTTTAGATTTATGTCATCCAACTGTCTGCTTAATTATGAAAGAAAATAAATAAGTATAAATGGTAAACACAAATATATATGCAGTGCTTAAACATATTTTTGAATATGTTTAAAATAGTTTATAAGGAATAGTTTATCATTTGACTTTTTATGTGGAGTTTTTCGTAGAAAGTTTTAAGAATTAATTATAAATGAAAGCAGAAAAATCCTGTAGTTACTTCAGGAATTTCTTGCTTTATAATGATGGTGTGACACTCAAAATAATTTTGAACATGTCTTCAAAATTAAAAGAATATTTTGTGAAAACTTATAAGCGGTGATAAATACTCGTTCTTTAGAGTCGATTTGACTTGAGAACCAGCCTTCAGTCACAGATCAAAGAGGAATGTTACTGAAGAGATCAGACAAGTTTGGTCACAAAAGTATGCACCTGCATGTCTTGTAAAAGAGCTCTGAAATTGCCATGAGAAAAAAAAGCATTTTTTCGAAATTAATGTCTGGCTTCCAAGGTGAGTCTTGTGAAGGAATATTCATTTGGTTGTATAACTTACAAACACAGTGTAATTTCCAGATGCAGTTTAGTAAGTTTCATTTTTTTAAAAACAGGCTTTTGTAATGCAACTTTTTACCTCCTGTTCCATTGCAATGTCTTTATTTATAGCTTCCCACACCTCCAAGATTTTCCCACATTTGGTGTTCAGCATATCCAAGTTACTAGCCAAGGGCAGCAACTACAGAAGAGCTGTAAGCATCGCAAACTTATGAGGACTTCAAAATGTCATTGCTTGGTAGACCCCTACTCTCTCCACTTGTTCTTTCTCAGAATCAATCTGACTCAGGATCCTAGATTTCTGAGATAGCCATCAAGGAATCATTCTGCCTAGATTCATGGCTCTTTTTGTTCTCTCCAAAATTAACTTATTCTGTGGGGTCATATATCATCTTTGGTCCCTATGCCTAAGTTTTACAACTTTCTACTTGCCCCTCTGGATCTTTGACTTCTGTGAATAAAGATTCCATTGTCCCCTTATATTCATGGCAGTGCCCTCATGAAGCCTGAGTTGTTCCCATAGCCAAGAGATACACTGATCATATAATTCAAAATCCTAACCGCATTTATTCTCCTGGAAATATGACTGAGTCTCTTGTTTCAGCTGTCTCTGTCTGTCCCATGATGGTCTGAGGTAAAAAGAGTTTGTTTCCTCCTGTCTATACTATCTTCTCACTGATAGTTGTTCATGTCAAAAAGTCTGTGGCTTTCTTTAGAAACAAAATAAAATCCAAATTTCTTAACAAACTCCACATAACCCTACACGAAGTGGTCCTTGTGTTACCAAAACATGTTTGGTCTAGTTCCTGCTTCTCGCTGAACAGGAAGCCAGTCACTGAAATGACGAGTATTGCCAAGGAAGAAGGCTTTAATCGGGTGCTGCAGCCCAGGAGATGGGAGATCAGTCTCTAATCCATCTCCTGACCCACCAAAAGTAAGAGTTTAGACAGCAGGGAAGAAACGTAACAATGTATAAGAAAGCAGGAACTGGGAAGGGGCAAGGAAGCAGTCACGATGAATGAGGGGTCGGCAACTCATTATCTGGGTGTGGTGATCTGGTAAGTCTCAGTTCTTTGATACTTCTTGAGATTCCTGGGAACCCTTTCCTGAGGAAGGAATTCAGATAAAATAAATATAAGTTTTAAGCTTAAGAGCAGAAGGGTCAATTTCTATATTCATCCGAAAGAAAAAAAACTATTCTATGGGACTATTGGATGGGTATCACTTGCCTATCACTTAAACCTTAAGTTCTTCCATCCTCCCTCTTAGTCCCCGAACTCCAGGTATTCTGGCCTTCTTTTCTGCTGCTGAACACACCAAGCTTGTTCATAATATTCAGATTCTGTACTCACTGTGCCTTCTGTTAGAAATGTTTGATTTTCAGATCTTCTCTTAGCTGCCTCTTCTTAGCATTCAGATTCCAATTCTCGCCTTCTCTAACCATTGTAGGTAAAGTGGTTACCGATCCTGCCTTCTCATTTTTCATCTTCTTTCTTCACATAAACCAGAGGCAGCTGGACACTTTAAAATGTTTTTTCCCAAGCTTTTATGGCCTGCTCCTCTGTTAGAATTTGTCTGTAAATGATAACACCAGCTTTTTTTCTTCCTCCTGTTTCTGGATTTGACGTGATTTTTAAATTCTTTCTTGGCTTTGTAAGTTAAGCTCCTGAGCTTAACTGTCTGGGTCTTGAAATTTGGACAACTTCCTTGAATTCTGAACTACATAGTTTTATAAACATTGCGTAGGTTTGTTTATTTTGTTGGTGTGAGCAATCAGTCTATACCACAGCTCTTTTAAGTAAGCACTAGGCCTCTTTCCACTTATCCCACTCTAAGCACCACCATGTAGCCCCACAATTAGGAAGCAAGATTTGACAAAGCCTTAGGTGTCCTCTAACAACCTTCTTACTAAATGCAAGAAATTTCTGTCACTTCCTGGTAAGTAGATATTCCGGCTTCTTCATGAATAACTCTGATAACATGGAGTCCACTATTTCACTAGACAGGTCATGTCAACTACATAAAACTCTAAGACTCCTTAGAGACTTCTTTCTTAAATTTATCTTAAAACGTTTCCTGGAAACCTCTACAGAATAGTTCAAATTTTACATTCTAGATGACACAAAATAATTCTTTACCATGTGCTAGCTACATGACCTGGTTAAGAATGGTCACAATCTAGGCATGGATTTGAGGAGCTATGGGATAAACCTAGCTATCAAAACCAAAAAACTATGGCAAGATCACTGACATCACAGTGTGGCAATCAAGTAATCTTGAAGCCATATGCTTCTTTCTTCACCATGCCTACTAATACCATTTATTTTCCACTGAGAATCCAGGAATAAATAACACCTCTACCTCTGAAAGGAGACAGTTTTCCAAGAATTGTTGAAGGGTAAAGGGGAAACATAAAGCTTTAAGTCTTTCTAAAGATAATTTGTGATATCCTCAAAACCTGCTCTCTTGTGCAAACAAATCCCAGTTCAATTTCTGTGTTTTCTAGGGAGCTTTACAGACTTGTGCCTCAGTTGTCTCTGATTAATGTTCCCCAACAAGTTCCCAAACAATTACTTTTTATTCTGGCTGAGTTCTCACAGTATAGCTCTTGAATATCTCTGCTTTGGAAAAATTGAACATCTGTAGCTCTCCTCCCTATTCCATTACCATGACATTTATTGAGTGCTAAAATGTACAAGATTATATTTGTCTCTGTGTTGTTAGGGCCCATACGCTGGTAGTCATTATACTTTTTCTTCTTTGAAGGTGTCCCTCCTTCACAGGGCTCACTGAAATACAGAACAGGTCTTGTCAGTTTGTGTGCATGACTATTTTTATCTCAGAGGGAGGGATTGTGGGATACAATTTATATACAAGAGATAAATTATAGACACACAGTGTCTGGTTACTCACTTAGCTTAAGCAGGTTTACATATGTTAAAGAGTATCTTCTAGGCTTGTTTTCCCTCTAACTCCAATCACTGATTCCTCGATTTCATTTTCTTGCTAGTTCACTGGGACATTTCACCTGGTAGGACAAGACTCAATTTTTCTTTTAGTACCCTTTAAGTCCTGGAACAAAGTTCTCTCAGGGGGCTTGAAATCCAGATTTCAGAGGGAAACTGCTTTCCATAGTCATCTAAACAGTTGGCAAGGATAGAGTCCTGTGATCTTTCCACTTACAATTTTACTACTAGTTTTCCCTTTGTTTAAGAAATAACAATCTGATTATCATTCTTTACCACCTACATCTAGATTCAGTCATCATATTCTGAAAATCCTCCATCTCCTATCTTATATCCATTCTTCTTTTTGCCTTTCTTAACTATGAAACAGTTAATTTCTTGGGACAGTAATTTTGCCTTGGTATTTTTGAATTCCTGTGCATAGAACAGAGAGAAAGTGAATGAATGCCCTGCTTGTTCTGCATCTGTACCTTCTAGCATTAGCATCTTCTTCCAAAATTACCTTAGGAATCCTTTAAGCCTCATCTCTGAGGAAACCATTTGCATTCATAGCATGCATATCTTTATTATTATTATTATTATTATTATTATTATTTTGAGACTGAGTCTCGATCTGTCGCCCAGGCTGGAGTGCAGTGGCATGATCTCAGCTCACTGCAACCTTTGCCTCCCAGGTTCAAGCGATTCTCCTGCCTCAGCCTCCCAAGTAGCTGGGATTACAGGCTTGCACCACTGTGCTCAGCTAATTTTTGTATTTTCAGTAGAGGCAGGGTTTCACCATGTTGACCAGTCTGGTCTCAAACTCCTGACCTCAGGTGATCTGCCTGCCTCGGCCTCCCAAAGGACTGGGATTACAGGTGTGAGCCACCATGCCTGGCTATATGCATGCATATCGATAGTCAATTGACTGTTGTTTTGTCTGGTTTTATGTGGTCCACTTACACCAAGACATCTCTATCTCAATTATGATGCAGATCATTTGGATCCAGCCTAACGGAATGTCCTCCCCTTCCTTCTCTTTCTCCTATATCAGCTATATATTTTAACATGCATACAATTCCAAAGTCAAAAACATTAAAACAAACTAGGAAAAAAAAAGTAAAGTAATGTTTCCCTTCAAGAGTCTAAAGAACTAGAACAGTTTCTAGGTAACCCACAGCAGATTAGCCCCAGGATATCTGAACAAAAATCTTTATATTACAGGAACTAAAAATCAGTGGTTGAGTTTATTATATATCAAAGGTCTGCATCTTGTCACTTGAGACAATTCACAAGGAGAATAGAAATTTGAAAGAATAAATCTGACTAAGCCAGAAGCATTTTCCACCAGGTGTCAACACGTTTCCCATCTGCTGGGAATGAGGAAAGCTTTGTATCTGCTCCATCTCTGTACTCTTCCCTTCTTCAGACACCAGGACAAAAACTTAACATTGTCGCTAAAGCAATTTTTATTTTGACAGCTTTAGCATTTCATCATAATGCCTTTGTTTCAATGGAAAAAGTTCTCCCACGCTCTTCACTGAAGATGACTTTCTTACTAAGTCAAAGCTTTTGCCTCTTCTTACATAACAAATGTGTACACAACCCACCTGCTTCTGGGTTACTTTCCATCTGTTCATCAAGACAAACCCTATTACATATGAAAACAACTTTTTTCCTTTTTATGGACATTATGTCTCCATGTAAATTAAATTTGTAATCAAGTTGGGTCTTCTTTTTAGACAACAAAAATATTTCAGGAACTTCATGACAATTGATTTATAGAATGTCCTGGTTAGCCAGGATATTTGTCTTATGTATAGTGAAATATTTTTTATAGACAACAGATAATTTCAATTTTAAAATAATCACTTGGACTGTAAATTCAGCGAAAAAGGCAGTCTCTTCCTTAATCGGAAGCCAAGTGGAGTTGCAAGTCATACTAACCTTAGGAAGTCAGAGCAACTGAGACATTGGAGATCATCTAGTGTGTTCCCAGCTTTGGACCTCTTTGAGAATTTGAAAAGGAAGCTATAAACCCTCCTCTGGGAAAGTATACATGCACTCAAAATGTTCATAATATATCAGGGTTCTTTTGTTCCTCTGGGCCAAAAACCATAACCCAGGTAAGGAACACTTGATTTAGTCCAACTCTTTCATTTTGATAACAAACGGAATCTCATAGAAGCCAACTGATTAACTTAAGATCCTAATTTAAGCCTACAAGTTATATTACCTATTAACAGAACAATTCTTTTCTTACCATAATTGACTATGTTTTGTTGTCTTTCAAGTATATTTGAATTTATTTCTGCTTATTTTATTGATGAATAAGTTATAATGACATTAAACTCAATCACTTAGTTTTATAGGTAAGGAAACCATATCCCCAGAGGTTAACTGGTCTAAAAATCAATTTCCTAGGGAGAAATATTCAAAATATTTCCAAATTTCTTTTATTATCTTGCCATTCACGTTTCAATGATCTTGGAACTTGAACAGGTATGTACTATTATTATCACATTTGTAATTTTATTTTATCATCAAGAATTTAGAGAGACAATAAAGCTGCCAAACTGATTTCTCCAAAGGCAGCATTGACTTTTCTCTGAAGTTGTGTATTTTATTTTTTACTATTGGATTACATAAAATATTAGAGGAAAAAAGCATTTAGAAAAATACTAAAAGAAAAATGAGGTTTTTAAGAATTAGAATGTACCCAGCCTTTTTCTGTTTCCTTCGGCACAAAGTCTAATTCCTATCTTTCTAACTTGAGATTGTTGAGTGATTTAAAATCATGTTAATCATTTCAACATTCTCAGTTGTAGGGGAAAATGAAATAGCTAATTTTATGCTAAAAATAAACCTTGCAGATTTGCTGGATTGCACGACGCTTGAGTGTAAACAACTGTCATCCGTCTTGGAAAGCTAATCCTGCCTGGTTTTGACTTTCCTAAGAGAGTGTTCTAACAGGCTTTTAAAGCTGCATGTTGAATAATTGTTTCCACAACTAGCACAGATTGGTTTTCTCAAAAGAAAAAATGAAAATGAAAGTTCATCCAATTAAAATAGGACTATTAATAGCATACTGTGTGGGAAAGGAAAAGCCTGCTCTTCAAAGGCCTGTACAGTTCATGACAGAAACACACATTTTCACAGCAACGGAAAGAGTTGGGTGAAAGTTTAAGATTTTATGAAGAAATAGAAAAGCAAATGATTTCGCTTTCTTTAGTTGGCACAAGTGAGAGTATTAACATCCCTGCCAGAGAGGTGTAGGTGCCTTCACATTGGCTCCACCAACTTCACAGTGCATGGAAGATGGTTCAGCAGAGAAAGCCCCAAGTTCACTTGGCCTTTGGGTTGTTTATACCTTACCATCAATAGGAGGCAAGGTTAGCACCGTATCATAGGGTATCAACCTTAAGAATGCTCTTAACTCTGTTCCCTGATCTGGCAGATCATCCTTTCATTAAATAATTCCACATTTTTTGAGGGAAAACACTTTAAAATTTCGGATCGTTAGACAATCTAGTCATTTATTATATTTTATCCCAAATCAAGAAAAATACATTTGTGAATTTATATTCAAAGTTTAACACTGGGGATTTCAATGAATGGCTGTTGATGCCATCATGAGTCAGGGTATTTCTGTTCCAGCAGCCCACTTTCCATGCCGTTTGATGCCAAAGACCAAGGGTCCAAGAAGGACAGATACACCGATATGAATTCAAACACTGGGCTAAGTGAAGAATTCTGTAAACAGCTTTTCTCACATGTAACCCCATAACCACCTGCATATTATATGACTCCATTATATAAAATTAAAAATCAACAAAATGAATCTAGAATATTAGAAGTCAAAACACCATTTACTTTTGGGGAATAGTGGAGTATGAGGAAGCTTGCGCTATGCTGACAACATTCCTATGTTTGATCTAAATGGTGATTTACATGGATTTGATTGCTTTGTGATAATCCATTGAACTATGCACATAGACGTGTATACTTCTCTGTTGTGTGTTACTACATAAAATAAGCAAATAAGAAAATCCGTATTAAGGATTCTATCACAAATTTTTAAAAAATTATCCTGCTGGGCACGGTGGCTCACCCCTGTAATCCCAGCACTTTGGGAGGCCAAGGCGGGTGGATCACGAGGTCAGGAGATCAAGACCATCCTGACTAACACGGTGAAACCCCATCTCTACTAAAAAATACAAAAAACTAGTCAGGCGTGGTGGCAGGTGCCTAGAGTCCCAGCTTCTCGGGAGGCTGAGGCAGGAGAATGACGTGAACCCAGGAGGCGGAGCTTGCACTGAGCCGAGATCGCGCCACTGCACTCCAGCCTGAGTGACAGAGCGAGACTCCGTCTCAAAAAATAATAATAATAAAATAAATAAATAAATAGAAATTATCCTAAATAAATGCAGACATAAATGTTCGTGATTGGTAAAATTTAACATTGTAGAGATGCCATTCTTCTCAAATTAACTCATGAATTCAGTACATTTTCTGATAATATTTCAGAAGAAGTTTTTGAGGAACTGAACAAACTGATTCAAAGATCATATGGGCAAACAAAGGTCTGTGAGAAACAAAGATTACAAATAAGAAAGCAAAGAAAGAGAATCAACCTAAGGTGTATGAAGACATGTCACAACATCATTTTAATGGTACAAAATAAAGTGGAATACATAGTGTGGTTCCGACATGGAAACAAAAAGACAAGTGGAATGCAATATTGAGGCCAAAAGTACCGTTTGGATCAAAAGTTGGAGCATAATAGAGGTGAAATAAATCTGTTGTCATTGACAGAAATAAAAAGAGTATTTAGTAGAGAATTGTATGAGATTTTATTATATGGAGAAAAATTAAGTTACACGAAATATAAACAAAAATAAACCCTAGATGTTCTAAACTTGATAGCTAAAATTAAAAGGCTACTAGAATAAAGGAGGATATATTTATAATGGATAGCTGGGAAATATATCACTGAGAAAAAGGGGAAATCAAATAGAAAAACCAGTTGAGTCTTTACATAGATAGTACCAAAGGGGAAACTTGAGTGGCTAGCAAGTGTACAAAATGGTGAATACCATCACCAGTAGCCAGAGCAGTTAAATACCCTTTTTGACTCCTAAGATTATACAAATGTAGAAAGCTAAATTATAGTAAAATTCGGCAATTACAAAAGGAAAGGGGAATCCTCAGGCATGTCTGGTGAGAATGCAGACCAATTGAAACATTTTGGAGCTCAATCCAGCATTCCTTAATGAAGAGTGGTGTCTACCCAATGACAAATACGGTGAGAAAGCAATTTCTCACATCTCTTAAGGATATGACTATATCCTAGAGGATTCATTAAACACATTACAAGGATGAAGAGAAAATAAGAGAGACAGGACTTATGAAGACCACTAATATCAGTGAAGAGTACAATGAACTCCACTTTCAGCACCTTAAGTGCAAGTGAGAAAGGGGAAAAAGTAGAAAGAAAAAGAAATCCTATTTATAAGCATTCTTATTTGTCACTTATTTTCTTAGAGAGAATTTATATTTAAATAGAAATCAAAGTAATGATGACTTTATTCAATATTATTACTTCTGTGTTTCTCCAAGGGAGAACAAACTACTAACATCTGCATGAACTAACTGGTAATTTTCCCTATTCACCCAAAGCTGCAAAAAATTTTAAACAATCTTATAGCTCTTAGGATCTGGCTTGTAACCTCCTTTTCTCCAGGGGGCGTTATTGCACAGTGGTCATGGGGCAGGCAATCAAGTCTTAATTTTCCCAGCTGTGGTAGTTTAGGCAATTTATTCTGTTTCTCAATTTAATAGCTACGAAGTAAACATAATGGTATCTACTACATAAAATTGGAGGAAAAATTAAATCAAAGCATTTATGTGCAGGGCTTGGCATATCAACCACTACATTTAGATCTTGTTAAGAATGCCTTTACTTCCTGGATTCTTCTTAGTACTCTACCTGTCCTAGGTGGATTTATTTATCGTTATCATCATGAATCATGCAGACCTCCAAGTTTCTCTTCTTACTTGAAACAATCTTTCTTAATCTACTCTTTAAAGTTTTTTTTTTTTTCTATCTCTCGTACTTCCTAAAAATTTATCTTTTCCAGGCAGGCGTTTTGAAAACCAAATGAAGAAAAACTTTGCAGTGTTGGTGAATATTTAGCAAAACATAAAAATGAAAAATGTTTTCTGACCATAGCATACTTCATTATCAGTATAACAACATGGTAGTGGTTGAGTAAATGCAGCTCTTACTAGGAAATGCAAGGATTCCAGAAGCAGATAAGTTTTATTGCCAAAAAACCCATAAATGTTCTTTAATCTGGAAAGTATCCACATAAAACAATAGACCAGATTTTTTTGATCATTTTGTACAGTCATTTAATATTTCAAAATTAAAGCATGGAGGGAAAAAACCTCATAAGCGAGTTGAATCAAAGAGAAACAATTTATTAAGTGATTTATTTGTGAAAATAAACTTGATGATAAATATTCTAGAGGGGGAAGAATTATACTATTATTTTCAGAAACAAAAAGAGTTTAAACTTTTTTTAATGTAATAGAGTGTGGTGTGTGTATTTTATCTTTTAAAATTATAATCAACACTGATGAGTAAACACCTGAGGTACTGATTACAAGTTTCTTAACCAAACCTCATGGAGGTGGCTTTGCAAAAGTGATTCTTTCTGCTAAGTAATGTCACAGTGACTCTGAACCCCATTGGTACTATTGAATCCTGTTTGCACCATGCCATTCGTGAGAACTTTGTATTTCAGTGGGCATTGTATTTATTCATGGAAGAATACCACTGGAAATACCTGTTTTAAGACAGGATTCCTGTTGAATAAGCCATTGTGAGTATTTGTGTATAATCATTTCCTGTAGATAAATTGTCTGCTGGCAAATAAATAATATGGTCCATTTTCAAAATAAACTAGCTCGTTGTTCTGAAAAGCCGCAAGCAACATCATTTGTGTTGGAGTGTTTAAACAGGTGATATGTGCTTCCTTTAAAAAGGAGAAAACTAAAAGTGCACTATTATATTGAGCATGCAGGTTTTTTGGGTAGTATTGATTGCATATTCAGTTTTTATTCATTAGAAACTAAAACTTCCTAAGTAAGCCCACCTTTTATATTAATTGATTTTGATAACATGAATCTCTTGCAGTACCTTAAGTCCAAAATTATTATCTATTGATCTGACTCCCCCAAGTCCTGTCCATGCTCCGTGTAATATCATACTGCCTGCCCACCATTCTACGTGTACTCTCCAGACTGCCCATTGTTCCACACGTAATAATAAATGCATCTTCCAGATCTGTTTTCTCCCTTCCACCCACCAACACCGGGGCTGAGTAATAGAAGGAAGGGCCACATATTGGCCAACCCACAAATGTAGGCAAAGCTAAGGAAGCTGAACACAGGGGCGCTGTCAGAGGAAGTTTCTCCAAAGACTATTACATAGTGATGTAGGACTAAGAACTGAACCCAGGACTGATGGCATTTCAGTACTTTAAGGTGAGATCTGAGCACAGCTGCAACTTGGATTTCAGTCCTGTTCTAACTGAAATAAGTAACTAGGAAATTCTCAAGGCAGAGTGTTGGCAGGAATTCAAGCAGGTCAGCCTCCAGTTTGGGAGATCTGATAGTGGAGCTCAGGGACCCAGGCCCTTCTACTGTGGACTTCACGGGCAACGAAGTACAGAAGTGTTTAGTGGGTGGGGGGAGAGATCAACATTCTCAAATTCAGAACAAGACTGGTTTCAAGGTGACCACCAATGATGGGCCAGATAACTAGGATTACAAGTCTCTTCCTCTCCCTTGTCCACCTAAGGCTCAAGTTGTTCAAAATTCTTTTTCAAGTCTTCATTTATTTTTATATCTCATTATTTTCTACAGACGTGTGATTGTTCCACTTTTATACATAGCATATTTCCCTAAGTGTTCCATGTCATGGGTTAAATTATGTCCCTCCACAGAGAGATATTTTGAAGTACTAACCCCCAGTACCTTGGAATATGAATTTATTTGGAAATAGGGTCAGTACTGATGTAATTATTTCTGATTAGGTCATACCAAAGTCGAGTGTGCCCTAATCAAATATGATTGGTGTCTTTAGAGGAGGATGATGTGAAAATGCAAACACATAAGGAAGACAGCCATGTGAAGACAGAGGCAGAGATCAGGGCTATGTTGCCACAAGTCAAGGAACCCCTGGGGCTACCAGAGCCTGGTAGAGGCAAGGAAGGATCCTTCACTGGAGGCTTCAGAGGGAGCATGGTCCTATCAACATGTTGATTTCCAACTACTAGTCTCCAGAACCATGAGAGAGTGGATTTCTCTTGTTTCAAACCACACATTGTGTGGCATTTTGTGTTATTATTAGCTGCTGTTGTATCCTCACTGCCTGGCCTGATGATTTATATGGACTGTGTGCTTGGTACAAACAAGTAGATATGCACCTGCCTTTCTTCCACTTCTACTAGACTGAAATTTCCATGAAGCCAGAGACTATGTATGACTCATCTTAGTCACCCTTCAAGAAAGGATACTTCACAAAATGGGCCCTAAGGTATTTGTTGAATGGAAACATGGAAGACCTCAAGTTTTATGTTCTTATAATAGCCCATTTTTATTCAAATAAAGTTATGGATAAACAATGGAAACAATAATACTCAGGAAATACAGATGAAATCTATTCGCATATCTTCCACAGCTCTATCTCCTCATCATTGACTTCATATTTATTACTGTTACTGAAATATTGAAAACACAGGACAATTCACACTTGGGCTGCTCGTATCTGTGAGTATATACAGCATGTTCCCACAATTCTCAGCTGGTTCATCCCTGGTTAGTGTATAAACTCTGGACAGAAATGCTCGAGTGTGGTTTATGTTAGCAAACCCGGTTGCTTCCTGAGTGCTTCCCTTGCTCCCACCAACCATTTTCCAAATGGAAAGACAACAAACAGCTCTTTTATTGCTGTAACTGCTAGCAATCCCAGTAGCATGAGAAAGTTCACTTTACAGAGTTTATTACTCTGTAATAATAAAAAAAGAACAAAAGAAAATTGCCAAGGACAAGGCAATACAGTCAGTGTCAGTATTATGATTATTCAGAGAACAGAAGCCATGGAGCTGCCGTTACTATAAACATGCCTCCCTTTTATTGGCAGATGTTTCACTTAAACAAACATAATCAGGATTTGGGAAGATTCACCTTGGCAGCAGCTAAAATTAATGAATATTCACTAATCTCCTTGTGTCCCAGTTGTTCCTCCAGCTGCTCTGGAAACTGTATTTATGGGGGTGCACTGGAGATAGGCAGCTGAGAGCATCATGGGCCACACATTGTTTCAGATCCATCCACAGCTCCACACATACAAGGAGAAAGTTTATTTCCTTTTTTATCCCTCATTATTATAAACATTGTAAGCCAAAAATAAAATTATAAGGCCCCCAACCACTTGAATGGATCCCTCCTCTGAGCCAGGGCACTTCAAGGTTAATCTGAAAAACTGGTTCAGGCCATGACAGGAATGGAGGGTCAAACATGCTTCATTATGCCCTCCTCCCTTTTGGAATTCAGGAAAAGCCGACCAGCATTTAACTCAACACAGACCTTAAATCTGATAAGAAACATTTACAGTCTATTCTCTCTGAAGCCTGCTACCTGGAGTTTTCATCTGCATGATAAAACTTTGGTCTCCACAACTCCTTATCATAACCTACACATTCCTCTCTATCAATAATAACTATTTCAACCAATTGCCAGTCAGAAAAGTTTTAAATCTACCTATAACCTGGAAGCCCCCATTTTGAGTTGTCCCCCATTTCTGGACTGAACCAATCTATATCTCACATATATTTGATTGATGTCTCATTTCTCCCTAAAATGTATAAAACTAGGCTCTGCCCTGACCACTTGGACACATGTTCTCAGGCTGCCCTGAGGGCTGTGTCATGGACAATTGGTCACTCGTATTTGGCTCAGAATAAGTCTCTTCAAATATTTCTCAGAGTTTGACTCTTTTTGTTGACAATATGTATAAGTACCTCTTTAGTTTATTTCATAGTATTCCAGAATCCCCCCAAAATGCTGGTACTGAGAGAAAGCTAATAACAATTCTATATTCCAGTCACCTTAACTTTGAATTCTTTGTATCAACATGATAAGTTTGGGAACGTATTATCGTTTTAGTCATCAAAAACGAACTTAAAGACATTTACAAGAAAGAGAAACTAACTCATGCCCACTTATGGAAAAGGGTGGGGTTTACCATGACTATTCAATAGGTTTTGGGAGTGGGGTTGGTTGAATCTCCCAGAACTCAAGAGATAATCCACAAAGAATCAAAGCACCTCCTTTCTCTGCCTCTGATCCCAGCTCATCCTGTTTCCTCTGCAGGCAGTCTCTCTGTGCTTTCTCCCCAGTATGGCCGCAAATGACCTTATTCTCAAGTCTCTGTCCATTTCTATTTCCAAGGATCCACTATCTAATGCTAGTCCAATTTTTAGTGTGTCTTAGTCCAATTCCTGAGAAGGCCAATCTGGACAACTCAGCTATTAAGCCTGGCCAGATGTCCATGCTGTCCAAACGGACAAACAAGAGAACTGAGGCCCACTGCTTCCATTGCCCTGGGGCGAAGAAGCAGACTTGAGAGCAGAGTACGCATCTGAAACATACTTCAAAATGTACCCTAAAGATATTTAGCAAAAATAATCCCTTCTTGTTGCAAAGTGTTAAAAACATAAGTTCCATCTTGACTCTCACCCGATCACACCTTTGGTTCATTTAGTGATTGCTTCACGATTCTGACATAGCACTTTCTAATACCTGGAAAAAATTATATTATTTTGGATTTATAAATCTGTGAGCAGAATACTGTTCCCTTTTGTACCATTTCAGTTGATAATTAGCAGTGATGTGCTGGTAGGTAGTATTATCACTGTAAAAATAGATTAACAAATTCCCATGATTCCTGACAATTACTCAGTACTCCTCTGGTATAGAATTTTACTGTTCTTGC
Organism: Homo sapiens; assembly: GCF_000001405.40. NCBI lineage: Eukaryota > Metazoa > Chordata > Mammalia > Primates > Hominidae > Homo > Homo sapiens. The sequence goes on from NC_000004.12 coordinate 155,534,710, forward strand.
TTCTATAAAAGTTAAAAAAACCCACAGGTTACTTTTCAGTTTCCGAGCAAATTTAAGTTAATCTCTTTATGCAACTCATTTCTGTTATACGGTAGGTCTTTCCCTATTACTTTTTTTGCTATGCTGCCATTAAATTCAATCTCATAACTCTAAAATAGGATTTGTAGGCATTGTTCTAAAAAAATGTTTTATTTGATTAAACTAGCCTCTTCTTGGAATCGTCTAAGGCTATCAACTCAGATTACAGAGCAGTGATTTCACTTTGATTCATAGGCTTCACACAGAGACAAGAGCAGGTGTACAATACATTTTTTATTAATGTACAGAGACTCAGAGAATTCAAGTATGAAGGGCTACATGAAAAAGGTCATCTGCCAACCAGACAGTAATCAGAACATAAAGCTAACCAAAATACATACTGTTTATAAAAATAGTATATATAAATGTATTATCTTTCTTCAAGTGTTTATTAGTATACAATTCATGTGATAGTTGACAAACAGAAAGAAAGTCCATACAACTCATGTGTGCAAGGCAAGTTTTGCTTATCATTATGTCTGTCCAATATAGTGCCTAACACCTCAGAGGTGTTAACTCCTAGGAGGTATTATCAATATTTGCCGAAAGAATGCAAGCGGGTAATTTAGGACTGTAACAGGAATGGCACAAACAGAATAAGACCATCGCAAACTTCCTGTTAAAAGGCAAGTATGCAGACTATGGCATCAATGTGGGACTGGCGTTGAAAGCAGGATTAAACAGCAGGGCCTGTGTCACAGAAAGAAATAGATTCTCATCTGGGACATAGATTCGCATCTCTGAGACACTGGAAAATAGACTCAGGAACAAAGCCTCAGATCTGTAAAAGATGCACCTCAGAAGTTCACATTCACAAGGGGCTGGAGAAGACAGAGTCAAAGAAAGGAGCCAGTTCTGCTAACACCACTGTGGACCACGTAGTCACCATCCTGAAAGCAGCAGTGCTATCTTCTTATACCCAAAAGGCACAACATGAGACACTTGAGTCAAATTCTTTCATTCTGAGACAAGGAGTGTAAAGATTTAGCTCCGGAGGTCAAGATATGTGAGCCAAACAAGAAATGCCATCAACAAATAACTCTTACAGTGAAGGAAAGGAAGGTGTGAGGAGAGTGATGAGGCTCAGATCTCAGAAAACCAAGCTGAAGTAAAACTATTTAGAGCTTTGCAAATAAAGTTAGCCTATTAAACCTGAAGATAGGACTCAGTAGGGTCAGGTTGACTGAAAATCACACAGCAACGGGGAGATAAGATGACAATGGCATAAAGCTGGGTCAGGCTGTCTAGAGGGAGATGCAGAATAGTGACACTAATCAGGTGTTTTGGGTGACATTTATATCTAAAAATAGTATGCAACTCACACAAACATATTTATATCCATAGGGATTAGTATTAATAGGATTAACATCTTAGCACTTAACATCTTAAGTACTTCACAAAGATTAATTCAATATTATTTAGATTATGAGTGACTAACAGATATTGCTCAGTTGTGAGGCAGACTTGCTGACTTATAGTCATTTATTGTCCACGCTTGCTGACCTGTTCAGCTGCTCTGTTATGCTCAGGGGAAAGGAAGTGGAAAAGCTTTTGATGTATTTCTGTCTTCTCAATATATACATAGGGAGAATGGATAGGTAGATAGATAGAGAGATGATTGATTGATACACAATTGATCCATAGATAGGATAGATTAGATAAATAGATGATTGATAGATTGATAGATATACAGATAGGTAGATAGATAGGAGAGATGAGAGATGAGAGATAGATAGATAGATAGATAGATAGATAGATAGATAGATAGATAGAGATATGGTTTGGCTGTTCCCGCACCCAAATCTCATCTTGAATTGTAGCTCTCATAATTCCCACATGTTGTGGAAGGGAGCCAGTGGGAGGTAATTGAATCATGAGGGAGGGTCTTTCCCATATGTTCTTGTGGTAGTGAATAAGTCTCACGAGATCTGATGGTTTTATAAAGAGGAGTTCCCCTGCACAAGCTCTCTTGCCTGCCGACATGTAAGACGTGACTTTCCTCCTCATTTCCCTTCAGCCATGATTGTGAGGCCTCCCCAGCCATGTGGAACTGTGAGTCAATTAAACCTCTTTTCTTTATAAATTACCCAGTCTCCGGTATGTCTTTATTAGTGCATGAGAGCAAACTAATATAGATAGATAGGATAGATAGATTAAATAGGTGATAGATAGAGAGATAGATAGATAGATAGACAGACAGACAGATGACAGGATAGAGAGGATAAACAGATAGGTAGACACATGATAGATAGATAAATGATATATAGATACATCTAGACATCACTCAGCTAATGCTGTTTAACAAACTAAAACAAAATAGACCATATATTCTTGAAGATATCCTTCTAGTTCTGACAGGAGAAGAGACTTGAGGAGAGGCTGGGCTGTACTACAAAGAGCATCAGGCAAGGAGTTCTGGATTTTATAACCTTGGTAATTCCCTACCTTTATAAACTCTATTTGACTGATATAAAAATACTCTGTTTAATCTCGATAGTCTCTAGGTTTCTAGTTTGTTTTTGGTATAAATTTAAAATGTACAAGTGCAATATTGTTACATAGATATATTGTGTGATGCTTAAGTCTGGGTTTTTAGTTTATCCATCACTTGAATTAAGTACATTGAACCCATTAAGTGATTTATCATCCCTCATCTCCAACTCCTCACCCTTCTGAGTCTCCAATGTGTACCAGTCCACATTCTATGTCCACATGTACACAATACTTACCTCCCACTTACAGTGAGAACATGTAGTACTTTTCTTTCCATTTCTGAGTTGTTTTACTTAAGACAATGGCCTTTGGTTTTATCTATGATGCTGTGAAAGACATGATTTCATTTTATGGCTAAATGTTATTCCATTATGCATATATGTATAATTTTATATATTTATATGTTACATATTTATATATTATTGTTTATATATAATATATATTTATATGTTATGTATAATTATAATTATATAATATTATACATCATATATAATATATACACTTCACCTTTCACTATATATATAATTATATATACAATATAGAATATACAATATATACAATAAAATTATATATACAATATAATATATAATATATATACAATATGTAATCATATATAATTATATAATATATATACAATATAATATACATACAATTGCATATAATATATAATATACAATTGTATATAATATATAATATATACAATGATATAATTTATCAATATATAATTATATACAAATATATAAAATATATATAAATATGTGTGACTATATAAAATATATAGATATTAATTATATATTATATATAATTTTAACTATATATAATTATATATACTAAATTATATATAATTATATATACAAAATATATATACTATATATACTATATACAAAATATATATACTATATATACTATATATAAAATATATATACTATATATACTATATATAAAATATATATACTATATATACTATATATAAAATATATATACTATATATACTATATATAAAATATATATACTATATATACTATATATAAAATATATATACTATATATACTATATATAAAATATATATACTATATATACTATATATAAAATATATATACTATATATACTATATATAAAATATATATACTATATATACTATATATAAAATATATATACTATATATACTATATATAAAATATATATACTATATATACTATATATAAAATATATATACTATATATACTATATATAAAATATATATACTATATATACTATATATAAAATATATATACTATATATACTATATATAAAATATATATACTATATATACTATATATAAAATATATATACTATATATACTATATATAAAATATATATACTATATATACTATATATAAAATATATATACTATATATACTATATATAAAATATATATACTATATATACTATATATAAAATATATATACTATATATACTATATATAAAATATATATACTATATATAATATAGTATATACATTATTATATTATTATTTATTATATTATATATACTCTATAATTATATATACTAAATATATATACTATATATAAAATATATAGTATATATTATAATTATATATAATATATACTATATATAATAGTATATATGATTATATATACTATTACTATATATAATAGTATATATTATATATATACTATATATAATTATGTATAGTATATATATTCTATATATAATTATATATAGAATATATATACTATAATTATATATAGAATATATATACTATATATAATATATATATAATATTTCCTTTATCCAACCATCTGTTGATAAACACTTAGATTGATCTAGGATTCCACAATATTAACGGGAGTTGGAACGTCATTGCCTGCAATTTTAAAATAATAATCTGGCAAGCCGGGTGCAGTGGCTCATGCCTGTAATCCCAGCACTTTGGGAGGCTGAGTCAGGTGGATCACGAGGTCAGGAGTTCGAGACCAGCCTGGCCAACATAGTGAAACCCCATCTGTACTAAAAATGCAAAAAATTAGCCAGGCGTGGTGGCACTCACTTGTAAGCCCAGCTACTTGGGAGGCTGAGGTAGAAGAATGGCTTGAACCTGGGAGGCAGAAGTTGCAGTGAGCTGAGATCGTGCCACTGCACTCCAGCCCAGGTGACAGAGTGAAACTCCATCTCAAAAAATAAATAAATAAATTCATACATAAAAAATAAAATAATAATCTGGCTATTTATGATCCAAACAAGATGGATTTCTAGAGAAGCTAAGGAGGATTAAACTTCAGGGCTCCTTCCTTATCTGGAACCCTCAAGCTGTGTCATTTGTCAGGTGGCCTAGCAGAATTTAGATGAGAAGAGAAGCCAAGCTTCAGTCAGGGATTATGGCTAAGAAGACATTTATGGTAAGTTGACTGAAAATATTCCAAAAAATGAATCTCTAAGACTCTGGAAATTGGTTATGTTTTCTATTGTCATTCTAAACTAACATTTACTTTTGTACCTACTTTTGTATTTGTAATTTTGCGTTCTTTTTAAAAAGAAAACCATCCTTCCAATTGTATTGTGCAGCTTTAGGCCCCAGACAACTTGGATGGGGTTTTGTCAACAAGCTTTTGTAAAATCTTTGGCCCTGGCTTGCTTCTTATGCCTGAGTCATTGATAGATGTTTTTCTTACCTCCTGATCTTGTAAATACTCCCTAAGTTTTTTGCAATATCCACTTCACATTTCACCGAGATCTGGGAATCCAGGGCTGTCCAACTTTCTATTGTAGTGAGTCGTCAGGAGGACTGAAGGCTTTGACTGATATATGCCCATTCCCAAACCCTGTGGAGCCTAGATCCTGTTCTTGGTGCCCCCTTATTTTCTCACACCTGTCCTGACTTACCAGTTTGGGTACATAACTACAAAAAATTCTGACAGGAAATGAATCTCTTGCTCTTCCAACCCCTCTTCCCACATATTTCAGTAACTGAACCATCAATCTTACTTTTCAAAAGTGAGTATGGAACTAAATACGCCCTGTTGACAGTCATTTCAGGAACAAGTTGTATAGAAATTGATTGGAATGCAATGCTCAATGACATTTTTACCTATAAAATACATTTCTCCCACTACCTAAAATCTAAAATTTACAGGATATTCTTTACTTTTCCTCTTTAAGCCTATTTTTGCTATTATAATGTCTGCTTCCAAATCATTTTATTCTTTGCATCATTTTTTAAAAGGATATTTAAACATAAAAGTAAACTTTTCCATTCCATTTTGCCAAATGATTTCTTTTAGCTCAAAGCCTTTCATGGTCAATTTTCAATTTGATTTTCAGATTATAAAAGAACACATATCGGGAGTTATTCATTTTATAGTTCATGTAATATGTTATTGTAGAAATGTATTGTGCATAGAATAATTATTTATGGAAAAGATAAAGTTCATGAAGTCTTGTTAGAGCAATTATGAGAACACTGTGGCTTCCACTTTCAACTTAATACTATTTTCAAGACTTTAATTTATAATAAATTAATACTTCCAACTTAATACTATTTTCAAGATTTTAATTTATAATAAAAATTATAAATTAAAAGCATTATATTCTTTTGGAATTAGGTTAAGATTTTTTATTTTATTTTAATTTTTTTATTATTTTATTATTATTTTTTGAGACGGAGTTTCACTCTTGTTGCCCAGGCTGGAGTGCAATGGCGTGATCTCGACTCACTGTGACGTTCGCCTCCCTGGTTTAAGCCATTCTCCTGCCTCAGCCTCCCGAGTAGCTGGAATTACAGGTGCCCGCCACCACATCCAGCTAACTTTTTGTATTTTTAGTAGAGATAGGGTTTCACTATGTTGGCCAAGCTGGTCTCCAACTCCTAACCTTAGGTGATCCACCCTCCTTAGCCTCCCAAAGTGCTGGGATTACAGGCATGAGCCACTGCGCCTGGCTAGGTTAAGATTTTTGTAATATTCAAGAAAAGAGAGGCCGGGCGCGGTGGCTCACGCCTGTAATCCCAGCACTTTGGGAGGCCGAGGCGGGCGGATCACAAGGTCAGAAGATAGAGACCATCCTGGCTAACACGGTGAAACCCTGTCTCTACTAAAAATACAAAAAATTAGCCAGGTGTGGTGGAGGGCGCCTGTAGTCCCAGCTGCTCAGGAGGCTGAGGCAGGAGAATGGCACGAACCTGGGAGGCGGAACTTGCAGTGAGCTGAGATCACGCCACTGGACTCCAGTCTGGGAAACAGAGCGATACTCCATCTCAAAAAAAAAAAAAAAGAAAAAGAAAAAAAAGAAAAGAGAAACAAAGACTGATGGAACTAGCGTCCTCTGGAATGGCTCAGAAAGAAGAAGCTATTTTTGCTGGACACCCCTACTACCCTGTTAGGTCGGGAGAGGTTTGAGATTCCCCTGGGTTTACAGAATAAAAGACCTCGATGTCCCCTGGGAAATGGCTAAGCTGGATTCCTAAGGGAACTCATGAAAATCTACTAAATGAAATCTGAGACCACTGGCACCACTGTCTAATGATTCATCTCCGAAAAGCAGATAGGTTAAGTAGTTTACTGTTATGCATTAATTTGTCCTCTCCACCACCACCAAATGCATATGTTGAAATCCTAACCTCCAGTACCCAGAATGGGACCTGATTTGGAAATAGGGCTCTTGCAGATGAAATTAGTTATGATGAGATCATACCGGGGTAGGGTGAGCCCCTAATCCAACATGACTGGCGCTCTTTTAAAAAGGGGTGATTGGACATAGACAGCACACAGGGAGAGCTCCATGTGAAGATGAAGGCAGAGATGTGGGTGATGCAACAGAGAAGCCAAAGGATGCCAAAGATCCCCAGCAAAACACCACAAGTTACAGGAGAGACACAGAACTTCACAGGCCTCAGAAGGCACCAACCCCACAGACAACCTGATTCCAGACATCTAGCCTCCAGAACTGTGAGACAGTAATTTCTGTGTTTCAGTCATGGTAGCCTAGCAAACTAATACAAATATGGTCACTGTTCTCAAGAAACGTCTGTCAGGGTTGTTGCAAACCTATCTAAAATATAACTAACTACATACATGCACTCAGGAAAAATGAGTAACATCCAAGGATATTCTGCCCAATGTCCCCTTCTTTTGTTCTTCTTGTTTCTTGCCTTTTTATCTTGGTATCTCCACACTTATGGAAGAAATATATCTGTTTATATCTTAATAAAAAAGATCTTGTAATTGAATTTCACCACAAACCCATAGTAGTTCTGGTGAGCAAAGTAATATTAAGTGGGTGCAAAATTAATTGCGATTTTGCCATAGGAAAAATACCTATGGCAAAAACCGCAATTACTTTTGCACCAACCTAATATAAGCAATCATGACCTCCTTCCCCATCTCTGGGTGTGTCTACAGCAACCACTAAAGGGGCATGGCAGCATCTTGCTAAAAGACCTCTGCTTGTGCGCCTTCCCAAACCCTGAGTGAGCAGTGTTGCTTGCTCTGGGAGCTCATACTATTTCACATATTTAAGCTACCCTCCTTCAGGCAGAGGGTAGAGGAAGTGTAGGTAATATCTAGGTATTTTTTCACATTATTATTATTTTTTGAGTGGCTCACGCCTGTAATCCCAGCACTTTGGGAGGCCAAGGCGGGTGGATCATCTGAGGTCAGGGGGTTAAGACCAGCCTGGCCAACATGGCGAAACCCTGTCTCTATTAAAAATACAAAAAATTAGCCAGGCGTGGTGGTGGACGTCTGTAATCCCAGCTATTTGGGAGGCTGAGGCAGGAGAATTGATTGAACCTGGGAGGAGGAGGTTGCAGTGAGCCGAGATCGTGCCATTTTACTCCAGCCTGGGCGACAGAGCAAGACTCTTTCTCAAAAAAGTAATAATAATATAAATAAAAATAAATAAAAAGAGAGAGTGGCTGGCTATGATGGTGAATTCATAAAGCAAAATACTTTGGCAAAGACTCTTTTACCAGAGATAAATTTCTATCCAGCCCTTGCTGTGGACAGGGCTTTTGCAATCTGTGTCTCCAGGATTGCAAGCCTTTGACTGAATCTCAGCTCCTGCATCTTCCCACTGCTCCCTACAGTTGGCCTTTCCAGAGCTGAATATTCTCAGTATTCACGGGTCAGATGAACTGTCAGGATGTCCTCTTTCCTCTGTCCCCTGAAACTCTGCTCTCAAGTGGTAGATCCAACACTTACAGCTGATCACATGGAAGATTGTAGAATAGATGCACTCAAATAAAGGATCCCACCCAGCTTGGCCTGAACTGAGCTTCTTGGTCTGACTCAGCTGTTGCAGGATGTGACTCTTTGAGAGCCATTAATTTCTAGCCTTCCCCTCACTTCCTGTCTTAGTCCATTCAGGCTGTTATAACAAAATACCTTACACTGGATGCTTTGTAAGCAATAGAAATTTATTGCTCAGGCCGGGTGTGGTGGCTCATGTCTGTAATCCCAGCACTTTGGGTGGCCGAGGCAGGTGGATCATGAGGTCAGGAGTTCCAGACCAGCCTGACCAACATGGTGAAACCCCATCTCTACTAACAATACAAAAATTAGCCAGGTGTGGTGGTTTGTGCCTGTAATCCCAGCTAGTCAGGAGGCTAAGGCAGGAGAATCACTTGAACCTGGGAGGCGGAGGTTGCAGTGAGTCGAGCTCGTGCCACTGCACTGCAGCCTGGGTAACAGAGCAAGACTTTGTCTCAAAAAAAAAAAAAGAAGAAGAAAAGAAAAAGAAAAAACGAATTTATTGCTCAAAATTCTGGAGGCTGGGAAGTATAGGATCTAGGCGCCAGCAGATTTGGTGTCTGGAGAGGGCATGCTCTCTGCTTCAAAGATGGCACTTCTGGCTGGGTCCTCATGTTGTGGATCCAAAGAACAAACATTCCCCTTCAGCCTCTTTTGTAAGGACACCAATCCCATTCACAAAGGTGGAGCCCTCATGACCTAATCACCTCCTAAATGCCCCACTTTTTCATAACAACATATTAAGGCTTAGATTTCAACATATTAATTTTGGAGGAAAACGAATATACAGACTATAGCACTCCCAACCCCAGAGAAACTGTATAAGCTGCATAGGTGGCCTTGATGATAAAGCTAAAGATATAAACCACATAATGGGCTTGAAGTTCTCACTAAAAATGGGATAGTTGATCTCTGCTGAAATTAGCTATCTGGAGAAGTAGATATGATTTGCTCCAAATCACACACTGAATACAGCTGTAGAGAGGGGTGTATCCCTATGAGCCTAGAAATTTTAGCTACAGTTACCCTGAAGGAGAAAGCACAACACAGGAGCCAGCTGACCTCTGAATTTTATTCTGGTCGGTGGTGGAGGAGCAGCTGAGAACAGGGGCAGGATGCTGGGGAACTCAGGATACAGAGCACTCGTCCCCGCTCCATCTGTAGACAAAAAGCTCAGGAACCCAGAGCTAGAGGATACCAGCTGGGGGTGGGGATGGCCTAATTTCCAGCAGCTGCAGTTGAGAAATAACTGTTAGAGTGCACTGCCAAGCTGCAGAGCTGGACATCAATGTCAAGGGCTAGGGCAGGGACAGAAACTTCAGTTTCTGAGACAATCGCACCCCAGGGCCCACTTCACAGGTCCAGCGGACAGAGCTCTAGCTCAAAACCTCACACGCAGAAGCAGGCCCCTTTCTTGAGGTTTAATGCCTTTCTGTCTCATTCTTGAAATTCTTAATAATTTTATCTTTGAATTTGTGTTTTGTAAGTGACAGCTAATGGGACAATCAAGCATTTGCTAGGGGCTTAAAACCTCCGCTCATGCATGTCCCGCCTCCTACTGGCACACTTTCCATTGCTGCCTTTCTGTCTCTCTGTAATGGGCTTTTGGTTACCTGCTCCCCAGCAACCACTGCTGCCCTCTGCCCCCAGTAGGGGCCTGAGCGTGGGAACAGGGAAGGTTAGGGCAGGTGTGCAAGGGCCCCAGGAGTCTGTAGTGATCTGCACTTAACTGCTGAGTATCCCCATGTCCACGGAGCATGACGCTAAATAACAGATAAAAAATACAATAACATATCCAAAGATACTTGTAGAATGCAGAAGGAAGAAAGAGCTTTTTTTTCCCGGTTTTTGAATAAGGGACCACATTTGTATGGGTTTGGTGCAGCTAGAATGTGGATCTCTGCCATGGAAAAGTATCATTTGCAGGCAGTATCATATCATTTTAGTCAAGCATGAATACAGGCCACCAGAGCTGGTATCCCAGACAAGGGGAGTGGCAAGTTTTGTCCTCCACATCTAAAGCGAGTTTTCATTTGTGTGATACTTTGATGGAATTAAGAATATTAACAATTCTTACATAACAACCAACAGTGTTCTACAGAAGATTTATATGACAGGAACGAGAAGCAGCTTCCTTTAATTATATCTAGATCTCAGTTTGGCACACTTCCACATCCTTCCAAAGGCAATTTTAACTAAATAGCACATTGCAGGACTGTGCAAATTATCTTATGAGAATTTATGAGGAATAGACTATGCACAGTAGCTCATTTTCATTATTGATTTCATTTTCTCCATATATTTTCCTTATATGTATTATTTTCTCTTATGTTTATAAAATGATGTGTTTTGTGATATATGTATTCATGTACGCATATTTTATATATGTTACACATTTATTTATATAGACTGGTACATAGCTACACAAGGTTCCAATAAGAACAGCCTCATATGGATGTTTCGTAGGTTTATATCTTCATTCCTCTAATCCAAACTAACATTACTTAAGTCAAAATAATTTTTCAAATTTTCTTAGTAAATTGATTGCCAACCTTTTCAACCATTTTTCCTCTGAGTAGTTCTACTTCTCTAATATTATTTGCATATTTAAATTTCAAAACAATTCTGACAACACTGCGAAAATAAGATTTTTTTTAATGGGCTCTTCTGCTTTTCTTCATGTTGAAAATTATACTTTTCAAAAAACTTTTCTCACACTTCCAGAGAATATGTGTCATGAGGGTAGATATTGTCTCTTTCTTGTTCACTATTTCAGACTTAGTACCTATCATCACAACAGCATAGAGTAAATGCTTAATAAATATTTAATGAAAAAATGAAAACAATATTTTAAGGAAATACTTATACTAATTAGCTATTCCTGTTATCATACTGTATAACAAACCATCCCAACACTGAGTGCTATAAAATGACAAGCATTTATTCTTGGTTGCCTGGTGCAGCTATGTCTTAGGCTGCAGTGGCTGGGATAGCTCTGCTTACCCTGAGGGGCTGTGGTTCTAGACTGCATTGCGTATCTCTCGGCCTTCTACAATCGGAGGGCAACTGGGGCAAGTTCTGTGATGATGACAGAGGCCCACATCATCAAGCCCATCATAAAAACACTGTGCAACATTTTGGTTATGTCATGTTAAATGAGTCACACAGTCCAGGCCCACAGTCAAGGGGTAAAGAATTACACATCACCTACTTTCCAACATACTATCAAAATTAGATTAAAACCATGTGACTCTCATTTTGGAACCTTATTCTTTTTATTATGTCTTGTTTTGGTTGGAATAATGTTGTGAGGTAACATTACCTCTACCATAATGATAACCATTATTATTATAATTGTTATTATCACTATCGACATACTCATTAAAGTCAAGAAGATACTCATAATGCCTTCTACCAAAACTATACATTAATTTTGATATGGAATTTCCAGTTGATCTAATAAAATAAGAAAAATATAACAGAATTTTAGTGTTAAAAAAAGAGATAAGCCGGGCACGGTGGCTCACACCTGTAATTCCAGCACTTTGGGAGGCCAAGGTGGGCAGATCACAAGGTCAGGAGATCGAAACCATCCTGGCTAACACAGTGAAACCCCGTCTCTACTAAAAATACAAAAAATTATCCAGGCATGGTGGCGGGCGCCTGTAGTCCCAGCTACTTGGGAGGCTGAGGCAGGAGAATGGCATGAACCTGGGAGGTGGAGTTTGCAGTGAGCCAAGATCGCGCCACTGCAATCCAGCCTGGGTGACAGAGTGAGATTCCGTCTCAAAAAAAAAGATAAAGTTATAATTTTTTTAAATTATAAGCATTTTTAAAACACAATAGTACACTATTTCAATCCAGCAAGTTAGGTAAATTATTGTCTCTATCCCTTATTAGTTGTCTATATTTTGGCAATTAATAACTCTCTGAGCCTTAGTTAACTTTCAGTGAGGAGCATAGTAACTACCTCGTAAGGTTTTGATAAGAATAAATTAGGCAGTTTTTGAGCATACCTCAGTAACTGGCACATAACAAACACTCAATGAGCAGCAAGAGAGATAGTCATACTACAGACAGAAGCATAAACGGTAGAATTTGTTTTATTTTCAAAATCTAAATGATAATTATAAAACTACTAAAAATGAAAATGCATGGTGAAGGAACTTGTCCAGTAACAAAATATGTACATCAGTCGTTTTCTAATATGATGACAAAAATTTATTAGAAATATAAATGCAAAATACCTCATTAACTATTATATAACAATAAAAAAGCATTTAATACATTTGAATAATTTTAGTTGGAGATATGCAGAACCCATATGAAGTTCAGCTTACCTGCAAGATACTAAAAGGCTTGAATAAATTAAACTTTTTAACATATTACTAAATGGGAAGTCTTAATATTATAATGATAATCAATGTTCCTAAATTATTATAAAAATATAATGTTTCTGATTAAAATTCAAAAAACTTTTGATTCTCACCATGTTAAAATAACAGTTACTAAGTTTACATTCTTGGCTTAAACAAATAAGAAAAAAATAAAATATATGAAATAACAATTTTAGATCACTGGATGACAGGTAGTACAGGCCAGGAAAACAAAGCAAGTGAACCCAACAAGTGTCCCAACTCACTGCCTGGAGAGAGTTCCCAGTTTGCAGCCCAACACATGTTCCAACTTACTGCCTGGAATTTTCAAATTCCAGCACAAGAATCAGGACTTCCAAACAAAGCCAAAAGCTTCAATAAGTAAAGAGACTGAGCTCTGAGTTCATGGAGGTCAAGGCAGCTCGAATTTATGCGGTGGAGCTCTGGAGAAAAGGTGTCACACAGATGGTAAGTTCCAGAATTCCACAGAGACACCCCTTGTGTCTTTGAGTACTGATCACTTCCTGTATATGAGGAAACTACTAAACCCAGGGGTGGGTTGGAGGGAGTGACCACTGGAAAGGAGTCAGTAGAATAATCATGATGAAGGATTGGGGAAAGTTTTGGTTCTCATTAGCCAGAATGGAAAGATTTCTTAACACACAGGGCATTGAGTAGAAACCTTAGAAGGATGTTTTTTTTCAGAAGGGGAACCGAATTAGCCTTAGATTAGTAGCTGTGTCTGATCCACCTTGACAACACCTGAAAGCAAACCCCAAAAGTCTCAAACTGGTTCCGAGTAATTTAACTAAATCTCAGAAAACAGTTTTATATATATATATATATATATTTTTTTTTTTTTTTTACTTTTTTATTTTTGGAGCGGGGGACGGAGTCTCACTCTGTGGCGCAGGCTGGAGTGCAGTGGTGCAGTGGTGCAATCTCAGCTCACTGCAACCTCCGCCTTCTGAGTTCAAGCGATTCTCCTGCCTCAGCCTCCCAAGTAGCTGGGATTACAGGCACGTGCCACTGCACCTGGCTAATTTTTTTGTATTTTTAGTAGAGACGGGGTTTCACCATCTTGGACAGGCTGGTCTTGAACTCCTGACTTCGTGGTCCACCCGCCTCGGCCTCCCAAAGTGCTGGGATTACAGGCGTAAGCCACTATACCTGGCCCAAAATATTTTTAAAAATATAAATAGTACAGCACACAACAATGTCAATTTTACATCTGGCAAAAAAAAAAAAAAAAAAAAAAAAAAATTACCAGAATGATGACTGCCAAATAAAACACAGAAAATCTAGTTAAATTTCAATTTCTTAAAAACAATATATATCTTTCTAGTATAAGCATGTCTCAAATATTTCATGGAACATGTTCATACTAAAACATTGTGTTTCTGTCTCAGTCTGTTCAGACTAATATAACAAAGTGTCATAGACTAAAACAATGGCAATATATATTTCACAGTTCTGAAGGCTGGAAGTCTGAGATCAAAGTGCCAGAATATCAGGTTCTGGTCAGGGCCCTGTTCTAGACTGAAAAACTACCAATTTCTCTTTGTATCCTCACATTGCAGAAAGACGGCTAGAGTGCTATCTGGAATTTCTTTTATAAGGTCACTAATCCCATTCATAAGACTCCATCCTCATGACCTACCTAATCACTTCCCAAAGTCCTCACCTCCTAATACCATCATATTGAAGGTTAATATTTCAACATATAAATTGGAGGTGGAGGGGAATAAACTTTCAGTACTTAACAGTTACTTATCTGAAACTCAAATTTAACTGTATTTTTATTTGCAAAATCTGAAACCATAATTAGCAGACATGCCCTCCAAAAGCAGGAAAATATGCATAATCTGGAGAAATATCAATCAGTAAAACAGAACCAGGATAAAATTAGTAGATGTTATAATGCCTATTAAGAACATACTGCATATGATCAAGGCAGTATAAAAAAACATTAACATAATGAGATAAATGGATATAAAAAATCAAAATCCAATTTCTAGAGATGAAAAATACATCTGAAATAAAAAATACAGTGGAGAAGATTACCAGCAGATTAGACACTACAGAAGGAAAGATCAGTAAATTTGAAGAAGTAGGCAGTATTTAGTAAAATGCGAAAAGAAATTAAAAAAAAAAAACAGTGTGTCAGTGAGCTGTGCGACAATTTAAATCAGTCTAATATATATGTAATTGAACTCTCCAAAAAAGGTGGGGAGGTGAGAAAACAGTATGGGTGCAGTGGCTCATGCCTGTAATCCCAGTGCTTTGGGAGGCCGAGGCGGGCGAATCACCTGAGGTCAGGAGTTTGAGAATAGCCTGCCCAACATGACAAAACCCTGTCTCTACTAAAAATACACAAAATTAGCTGGGCGTGGTGGTGGGCACCTGTAATCCCAGCTACTCAGGAGCTTGAGGCAGGAGAATCGCTTGAACACGGGAGGCGGAGGTTGCAGCGAGCCGAGATCGCGCCACTGCACTCCAGCGTGGGTGACAAGAGCGAAACTCTGTCTCAAAAAATAAAATAAAAAAAATAAAAAGAAAGGTGGGGAGGTGAGAAAACATATTTAAAGAAATAGTAGCTGGAAATTTTTACAATTTGATGAAAACTATAAGGATTCTTGTCTGAGAAGTTCAAAGAAACCCCTAGTACCTAATTAAAAAAGCCTGTCATGAAGAACAGTTGCACTAAGGCACATCATAATCAAAATGCTAAAAAATAGAGATAAAGAGATCCCCCCCCTTTTTTTTTCTCTTTAAACAATTACTTTTACTATTTCAGTAAATGTCTCACTCTGGGCAAATTTAGAGATATGGTGCTCACCAGGGGTTGGGGGTGAAACAGGGAAAAAGAAGGGTGGGGCCTGGCTTAGGCTACATCCTCCTCTACAGCTGGGGAGGCCAGACCCAACACCGCCATCCTAAGAGAGGACAAAGGAGCAGGTTGGGACACCAAGATGACACAGGATCCTGGAGACAAAGCAGTGTAAGAAAAAAGACGTATAATACAGAAAAACAAAGATAAGAATAATGGGAGACTTTCTGTTGGAAATAATAAAACAGTGAAATAACATTTTAAAGCATTGAAAGACGGTGAGGAAAATTTTGTCTCCCAGCACTTTGGGAGGCTGAGGTGGGTGCATCACCTGAGGTCAGGAGTTTGAGACCAGCCTGGCCAACACAGTGAAATCCTGTCTCTACTAAAAATACAAAAATCAGCTGGGCATGGTGGTGCATGCCTGTAGTCCCAGCTACTCGGGAGGCCGAGGCAGTAGAATTGCTTGACCTGGGAGCTGGAGGTTGCAGTGAGACGAGATTGCACCATTGCACTCCAGCCTGGGTGACAGAGCAAGACTCTGCCTCAAAGAAAAAAAAAAGTTGTGTGAATGTGGAATTCTATGCACAGAAGAAACAAATTTTCAAACTAAAGGTTAAGGACTTTTTAGAACATAAAAGAGATCTGAACAAATTTGTAAGATATGTAAGATCAAGTTGCAAGATATGTTAAAGAAAGTCTTTCAGTCAGAAGAGAAACAATGCCAGATGGAAATCTGTATCTACACAAAGGAATGAAGACTTGCAGAATGGCAAATGTACATGTAAATATAAAATATATTTTTAAAATCTCTTTAAAGGTAATTATTTAAAGCAAAAATAATAACAATATGTTGCTATTACATGTTACTAGCCCATGGTATACGGGGTTTGTAATGTGTAAAGGTAAAATGCGTGCCAACAGAGGCCAAAGCCTGGGAGGAAGTAAACAGAAGCACGCTGATAGAAGGATCCTTTACTATGAACAAAGGAGTGTAATATTATGTAAATTAAGCAGGAAAGCATGCCCTATCAGAAATTAAAATATATTGTAAAGTTTGAAAGTTTAAAAAATAGTATGAAAATGATAAAATATTAAATTAAATAAATAGAACAAGAAAAAAGGCTAGACATAGATCAAAATGCATATAAGAATTTGTGATAAATAGTTCATTTTAAATCAGTGGGAAAAGAATGCATCATCCAATAAATGTTGTTTATAACTATGTAATAATTTTTAAATGAAATAATATTTTTGCTGCTTTTCTAGTGTTAAGATTATTCCAGATAAGAATTAAGGACTAAATGTAGGCTGCTTATTAAGAAAATGGCAGATAGGAGGCAGGACTATTTTGCAGCTCCCACTCGGACAAACTGAGCAGCATGTGGAGACCTACTTCTTGAATTTTGCTCCATGAACTACTACAGGAACATACCAGGAAAGCCAAGAGAATCCACAGACCCTTCAAATGAGGTGGATTGATGCTGCAGTCTCAGTGGGACAGCTGAGGAACTGTGAGTCAGCCTGCTTTCTCAGCTGGGATGCTTGTAGCCTGGGGCAAGTTCTCAGCCCTCCACACCAGCTGCCTGGAAATAAACTTGGGGCTGCTGGGGGAGGGGGGTGGCACGGTGGGAGTGAGACTGGCCTTTTGGGCTGTGGGCTGTGAGGAAGCCGGGTGAGGCCTGTGGCTACCAGCCTTCCCTCACTTCCCTGGTGAACTGTGTGAGGCAGCAGAGGCAGTGATAATCCCCCTGGGAACATAACTGCATTGGCCTGGGAGCCACACTCTCATCCCCTACAGCAGCCGCAGCAAGCCCCATCCAAAGAAAGTCTGAGCTCAGACATGCCTAACCCTGCCCCCACCTGATGGGCTTTCTCTACCCACCCTGGTTGCCAAAGACAAGGCACACAATCCCTTGGGAGCTCTATGGCCCTGCCCACCACCTGAGAAACCTGAATACTTATCCAAAGGCAACCCTAGGACAAGTTTGTCTCCTCCTTATACAACTGCAGCTGATGCACTTTTGAAAGTGCCACCTCCTGGCGGGAGGCCAACCAACACAAAACCAGCACACTTAACAAAAATACAACCAAAGACCCTCACAGAGTCCATTTCATTCCCCCGCTACCTCCACTGGAGCAGGTGCTGATTTTCATGCTGAAAGACCTGAAAACGGAACACATTACAGGACTCTTTGCAGACACTCCCCAGTACCAGCCTGGAGCCCAGTAGCTCTGTGGGGTGGCTAAATCCAGAAGTAAAATAAAAATCCCTGTAGTTTGGCTCTCAGGAAGCCCCATCCCCAGGGAAAAGAGGAGAGCACCACATCAAGGGAGCACCCTGTGGGGCAAAAGAATTTGAATAGCAGCCCTTGAGTCCCA
This sequence comes from Homo sapiens, assembly GCF_000001405.40. Lineage (NCBI taxonomy): Eukaryota > Metazoa > Chordata > Mammalia > Primates > Hominidae > Homo > Homo sapiens. Next base: position 155,553,114 of record NC_000004.12, read on the forward strand.
GAACTTCCCCCGACATAGGCTACCCAATGAGAAGGAACCAGAAAAACAATTATGGTAATGTGACAAAACAAGGTTTTTCAACACCCCAAAAGATCACACTAGCTTACCAGCAATGGATCTAAACCAAGACAAAATCTCTGAATTGCCAGAAAAAGAATTCAGAAGGTTGACTATTAAACTAATCAAGGAGGCATCAGAGAAAGGCAAAGTCCAAATTAAGAAATCAAAAAAATGATACAGGATATGAGTGGAAAAATCTCCAGTGAAACAGCATGAATACAAAACAATGACAACTTCTGGAAATGAAGGACACACTTAAAGAATGGCAAAATGCACTGGAAACTCTCAGCAATAGAATTGAACAAGTAGAAGAAAGAACTTCAGAGCTCGAAGACAAGGCTTTCAAATTAACCCAATCAGACAAAGACAATACTTGGAAAGACAAACTAAAAGGAATTTTTGAAAATGAACAAAGCCTCCAAGAAGTTTGGGATTATGTTAAATGACCAAACCTAAGAATAATTGGTGATCCTGAGGACGAAGAGAAATCTAAAAGTCTGGAAAACATATTTGAAGGAATAATCAAGGAAAACTTCCTTGGCCCTGCTAGTGATCTAGAAATCCAAATACAGGAAGCTCAAAGAAAACCTGGGAAATACATCGTAAAAAGATCATCACCTAGGCACATAGTCATCAGGTTATCAAAAGTCAAGACAAAGGAAAGAATCTTAAGAGCTGTAAGACAAATTCATCAGGTAACCTGTAAAGAAAAACCTATCAGATTGACAGCAGATTTCTCAGCAGAAACCCTGCAAGCTAGAAGGGATTGGAGTCCTATCTTTAGCCTCTTTAAATGAAACAATTATCAACTAATAACTTTGTATTCAGCAAAACTAAGCTTCATAAATAAAGGAAAGTGCAGTCTTTTCCAAACAAATGCTGAGAGAATTCACTGCTACCAAGCCAGGACTACAAGACCTGCTAAAAGAAGCACTAAATCTTAAAACAAAGCCCTGAAATACACCCAAATAGAATATTCTTGAAGCATAAACCTCACAAGACCTACAAAACAATAACACAAAATAAAAACTAAAGTGTTAAGGCAATAAATATCATGATGAATAGAGCACTACCTCACATCTCAATACTAACATTTAATGTAAATGGCCTAAATGCACCACTTAAAAGATACAGAACGGCAGAATGAATAAGAATTCGCCAAACAAGTATCTGCTGTATTCAAGAGACTCACCTGACACATAAGGACTCACATAAACCTAAGGTAAAGGGGTGGAAGAATGAATAAGAATTCGCCAAACAAGTATCTGCTGTATTCAAGAGACTCACCTGACACATAAGGACTCACATAAACCTAAGGTAAAGGGGTGGAAGAATGAATAAGAATTCGCCAAACAAGTATCTGCTGTATTCAAGAGACTCACCTGACACATAAGGACTCACATAAACCTAAGGTAAAGGGGTGGAAAAAGTTATTCTGTGCAAATGGACACCAAAAGAGAACAGAAGTAGGTATTCTTATATCAGACAAAACAAACTTTAAAGCAACAACAGTTAAAAAAGACAAAGAGGGACATTATATAATAATAAAAGGACTAGTCCAACAGGAAAATATCACAATCTTAAATATATATGTACCTAACACTGGAGCTCCCAAATTTATAAGACAATTACTACTAGACCTAAGAAATGAGATAGACAGCAACACAATAATAGTTGGGGACTTTAATACACCACTGACAGCACTAGACAGGTCATCAAGACAGAAAGTCAACAAAAAAGCAATGGAGTTAAACTATACCCTAGAACAAATGGACTTAACAATATTTACAGAGCATTCTACCCAATAACTGAAGAATATACATTCTATTCATCAGCACATGGAACATTCTCCAAGATAGACCATATGATAGGCCACATAACAAGTCTAAACAAATTTAAGAAAACTGAAATTATAGCAAGTAATCTCCCAGACCACAGTGGAATAAAGTTGAAAATCAACTCCGAAAGGAACCCTCAAAACCATGAAAATACATGGAAATTAAATAACCTGATCCTGAATGATCACTGGGTCAACAATGAAATCAAGATGGAAATTAAAAAAGTATTTGAACTGAATAATAGTGGCACAACCCATCAAAACCTCTGGGATACAGCAAAATTGGTGCTAAGAGGAAAGTTCGTAGCATTAAATGCCTACATCAAAAAGTCTGAAAGAGCACAGTTAGACAATCTAAGGTCACACCTCAAGGAGCTAGAAAAACAGAAACCAAACCCAAACCCAGCAGAGGAAAAGAAATAACAAAGATCAGAGCAAAACTAAATGAAATTGGAACAAAAAAAATACAAAAGATAAATGAAACAAAAAGCTGGTTCTCTGAAAAGATAAATAAAATTGATAGACCATTAGGGAGATTAACCAAGAAGAGAGAAAAACCAAATAAGCACAATTAGAAATGAAATGGAAGATATTACAACCGATACCACGGAAATACAAAACATCATTCAAAGCTGCTATGAACACCTTTACATGCATAAATTAGAAAAACTTGAGGGAATGAATAAATTCCTGGAAATATACAGCCATCCTAGATTAAATCAGGAAGAAATAGAAACTCTGAACAGACCAATAACAAGCAGCAAGTCTGAAATGGTAATTTAAAAGTTACCAACAAAAAAAGTCTAGGATCAGATGAATTCACAGCTGAATTCTATTAGACATTCAAAGAAGAATGGGTTCCAATTCTATTCACACTATTCCACAAGATAAAGAGGGAAGCCTTCATAAATCATTCTGTGAAGCTAGTTTCCCCTTAATACCAAAACCAAAAAAGGACATAACAAAAGAAGAAAACTACAGACCAATATCCCTGATGAACACAGATGCAAAAATTCTCAACAAAATACTAGCTAATCAAATCCAACAGCATATCGAAAAGATAATACAGCATGATCAAGTGGATTTCATACCAGGGATGCAGGGATTGTTTAACATCTGGAAGTCAATAAATGTGATATACCACATAAACAGAATTAAAAACAAAAATCAGATGATCATCTAAATAGACACAGAAAAAGCACCTGTCAAGATCCAGCATCCCCTGATGATTAAAACTGTCAGCAAAATTTGCATAGAAAGGACATACCTTAAGGTAATAAAAGCCATCTACAAAAAACCCACAGCCAACATTATACTGAATGGGAAAAAGCTGACAGCATTCCCCCTAAGAATTGGAACAAGACAAGTATGTGCACTTTCACTACTTCTATTGAACATAGTTCTAGAAGTCCTAGCCAGAGCAATCAGACAAGAGAAAGGAATAAAGGGCATCCAAATCAGTAAAGAGGAAGTCAAACTATCGCTCTTTGCTGATGACATAATCATATACCTAGAAAACCCTAAAGACTCATCCAAAAGTTCCTAGAACTGATCAATAAATTCAGCAAAGATTCAGGATACAAAATTAATGTACACAAATCAGTAGCCCTGCTATACATGAACGGCAACCAAGCTGAGAATCAAATCAAGAACTCAACCTCTTTTACAATAGCTGGAAAAAAAAAAAATACTTGGGAGTACACTTAACCCAGGAGGTGAAAGACTTCTACAAGGAAAACTACCAAACACTGTTGAAAGAAATTATAGACGACACAAACAAATGGAAACACACCTCATACACATGGATGGGTAGAATCAATATTATTAAAATGACCATACTGCCAAAAGCAATCTACAAATTTAAGGTAATACCCATCAAAATACCAACATCATCCTTCACAGAACTAGAAAAAGCTATCCTAAAATTCATATGGAACCAAAAAAAGAGCCTACATAGCCAAAGCAAGACTAAGCAAAAAGAACAAATCTGGAGGCATCACATTACCCAGCTTCAAACTATATTATAAGCCCATAGTAACCAAAACAGCATGGTGCTGGTATAAAAATATGCATGTAGACCAGTGGAGCAGAACAGAGAACCCAGAAATAAAGCCAAATACTTACAGTCAATTGGTCTTACACAAAACGAACAAAAACATAAAGTGGGGAAAGGACATCCTATTCAACAAATGGTGCTGGGATAATTGACAAGCCACATGTAGAAGAATGAAACTGGATCCTCATCTCTCACCTTATACAAAAATCAACTCATGATGCATGGAATACTTCAATCTAAGACCTGAAACCATAAAAATGCCAGAAGATAACATTAGAAAAACCCTTGTAGACATTGGCTTAGGCAAAGACTTCATGACCAAGAACCCAAAAGCAAATGCAGCAGAAATGAAGAAAAATAGATGAGACTTAATTAAACTTAAAGCATCTGCACAGCAAAAGAAATAGTCAGCAGAGTAAACAGACAACCCACAGAGTCAGAGAAAATCTTCACTATCTTTACATTAGACAAAGGACTGATATCCAGAAACTACAAGGAATTCAAACAAATCAGCAAGAAGAAAGCAAACAATCCCATCAAAAAGTGGGCTGAGGACATGAATTAAAAATTCTCAAAAGAAGATACACAAATGGCCAACAAACATATGAAAACTGCTCAACATCGTTATTAGGGAAATGCAAATCAAAACCACAATGTGATACCACCTTACTCCTGCATAAATGGCCGTAATCAAAAAATCAAAAAAAATGTTAGATGTTGGTGTGGATGTGGTGAAAAGGGAACACTTTTTCACTGTTGATGGGAATGTAAATTAATACAACCACTATGGAAAAGTCTGGAGATTCCTTAAGGAATTAAACATAGATCTACCATTTGATCCAGCAATCCCACTCCTGGGTATCTACCCTGAGGAAAAGAAATCATACGAAAAAGCTACTTGCACACACAAGTTTATAGCAGCACCATTCAAAATTGCAAAAAATATAGAACCAGCCCAAATGCCCATCAATCAAAGAGTGGATAAAGAAAATGTGGCATATATATCTCTATCTCTATATATTGATCTATCTATCTGTAGATATATATATATATGTATATACGTACATACACATACACCATGGAATACAACTTAGCCATAAAAAGGAAAAAACTAATGGCATTTGCAGCAACCTGGATGAAATTGGAGATGATTATTCTCAGTGAAGTAATTCAGGAATGGAAAATCAAACATCTTATGTTCTCACTCATACCAGGCAGCTAAGCTATGAGGACGCGAAGGCGTAAGAATGATACAATGGACTTTGGGGACTCAGGGGAAAGGGTGAGAGGGAGGTGAGGGATAAAAGACTACAAATTGGGTGAGGTGTATGTTGCTCAGGTGATGGGTGCACCAAAGTCTCAGGAATCATCACTAAAGAACTTATCCAGGTAAACACACACCACCTGTTTCCCAAAAACCTATTGAAATTTTTTAAAATGAAAAAAATGACTAAATGTTAAAAAAATCATATATGGAATAAAGGAAAATATGGGTAAAGATTTATACAATCTCAATAAATGCAGTATCTTACTGAAGCATCATAACCAAGAATCTATAAAGAAAAACTTTTTTAAATTTGTTTTTAAATTTTGTGTGTACACAGTGCGTGTATATATTTAGGGGGTACATGAGATGCTTTGATACAGGCATGATATGTGATGTAAGTGCATCATGAAGAATGCGGTATCCACCTCCTCGAGCATTTATCCATTGAGATGCAAACAATCCAATTATACTGTAATTTATTTTAAAAGGTACAGTTAGTTATTATAGACTATAGTCACCCTGTTGTGCTATCAAATAGTAGGTCTTATTCATTCTGTAAAGAAAAAAATTTTGAGTTAAATTTAAAAATAAACAAACCTGAAAGACAAATTTTAAACTGAGAATTGCTTGTGTCATGAATGTCTGACAATTTAATCCTTAATATGTTCATTCATTAGAAAATAAGAAAGAAACACATCAATGGAAAAACAGGAAAATGATACAGAAAATTTATATATACCCACATACAAATATAAACAGATACATATAAAAATAGTCAACCAGAGTAGTAAGCCAAAGATCGCAAACTTAGAAAACATTTTCACCATAGGCAACTGCTATCCCAATTTTAGTAAAAGTGCAGGAAAAGTCAATCTCCTAGAGTTGGTAGAAAGGTAAATTGGCACAATCTTTTTACCAATTTACCTGAGGGCAAATTTGGAAATACTTATCAAATATGTCATCAGTGTGTTCATTAAAAAACATCTTGGAAATAAAACACATTTTACAAGTAAATAACTGTTGATGAGACAATGTTTAACATGCATTAATAAGTGACAAAAATCAGATTACAAAACAAGACAAAGTATTACCCTATCTTTGTTAATAAACACATGTACATATATGTGCAGGATAATAGATAAACCATATAGAGTAACATTTTAAGAGCTACTGTGGATAACGGAATTATGGATTTTTAAATTTTTTTTTTTTTTTTTTTTTTTTTTGAGATGGAGTCTTGCCCTGTCGCCCAGGCTGGAGTGCAGTGGCACTCTCGGCTCACTGCATGCTCTGCCTCCTGGGTTCACGCCATTCTCCTGTCTCAGCCTCCCCAGCAGCTGGGACTACAGGCGCCTGCCACCATACCTGGCTAATTTTTTGTATTTTTAATAGAGCCTGGGTTTCACCATGTTAGTCAGGATGGTCTCGATCTCCTGACCTTGTGATCTGCCTGCCTCGGCCTCCCAAAGTGCTGGGATTACAGGCGTGAGCCACAGCACCCAGCCTGATTTTTAAAACTCTTTAAAAATTTACTTTATAAAATTTTATCATTAATGTGATATTATTTTATATTTAGAAATATAAAAAAAGTATATATTTTTCTGATTAGACCAGGATAAAGCAACTGAAGTTTTGGGGGGAAATAGAATCTGCTATAATTTAAGAGGTCAGTGTGTTTGCATTTTCAATGTGATGGATCAGACAGATGTTGCTACTTACAAGATTCCTCTTCATGACACTAAGCAGATTGGTTTCCACATAACATCTTTCCCAGCAGTTTTCCCTTAAGAAACTCTAACCACAGATATACAAACTACTACATCCTTTCTTGAACAAGATATTAACCTCATTTGGACATTCTAAAAATTACTGAATACTAATATCACCAGAGAAATTGTGTAAAAGTTCAGTTCCTTAGAAACAAAAATAAAATTACAACATTGTTCTTGCTAAGACACTTAATCCCCCAAAATGAGATCACTGAATATTTAGTGTTATCACTTGTTTCCTGACCTGAGATTCCCTTCTAAAGGTTAGATTAACCTTTAGATTAACACAATGAATACACATCTAAAATAATTCCTTTTTGGTTATTTATGAGAATATAAAAGGAAGAATTCTCCAGGTTCTCCATTCCCTCCAATCTTTTTTTCAGTAATATAAACACTCCAGGAAATTCAAATGAACAGGAAGACTTAAACTATAGACCTTGAATCTGATCTGTTAGGATGAGAAGACAATGGAGAAAGAAGTGTGACTTTGTCTTGCTTTCCAGCAGCCACTCAGGACTCACCAGCTCCACAACGTTTATTTATCCCTTTGTAGAGTGGCAGCCTCCACTGCTGCTCCAAGATGAGTTTTGTCTCCAGATGTTTAGAAATGTCATAAAGACATGAAGAATCAGGGATTTCACCAGCATAATGATGAACATTTATGGGGGAAAGCGAATGGGAGGTGGTATTGTGGTGGCTGGAAAGGAGCACAAGGAAAGCTTCTGGAATTCCATTAGTTCTGTCTCTTTATCTGGATGTCAGTTACAAAGGTGTGTTCAGTTGGCAAAAATTCAGCAATCTGTACACTTAAGACATGTGTCCTAAGTTCCATACTGTTAAATCAAGTTTCACCTAAAGCTGTCTCCTTATACGTTTTAAGTTTGGAGTAAAGGTTTTTCTGTACATCGTGAACTATAAACAAGTGGAGGTGTAAACAGACCGTAGCCTACACTTGTGCCAATCACTGAGTTTTGGTCAATCAAACGTAGTCAACTGTTCAAACTGTGTTAAATAAGGCAAATGCCAAGCTGTAACCAATCCAGCTGTTTCTGTACCTCACTTGCGTTTTCTACAAGTCGCTTCATTTTTCTTTTTCTGTCTGTAAATCTACTTCCACCAAGTGGCTGCGCGGGAGTCTCCGAGCTGGAAAGGCTCTGATTCGTGAATCCTTCATTGCTCGGTTAAACTTATTTAAATTTAATTCAGCTGAAGTTTTTCTTTCATCAAAAGAATTAATCACATTAATACTCCTCCAGGTTCTTTTTTTTTTTTTTTTTTTTTGAGACGGAGTCTCTGTCATCCAGGCTGGAGTACAGTGGCACCATCTCAGCTCACTGCAACCTCCGCCCCTCGGGTTCAAGCGATTCTCCTGCCTCAGCCTCCCAAATAGCTGGGATTACAGGCGCCTGCCACCGTGCCTGGCTAATTTTTGTATTTTTAGTAGAGACAGGGTTTCACCATCTTGGCCAGGGTGGTCTTGAACTCCTGACCTCGTGATCCACCCGCCTCAGCCTCCCAAAGTGTTGGGATTACAGGCGTGAGCCACTGTGCCTGGCCTACTGCTCCAGGTTCTATGAAAATTAACCATTTGTTATGTTTGCAGGCCAACTTTTTTTTAAGATAGTGTTTGTCAAAATCAGTGGGGAAGAAAAACATATATATTCATTTTACCTGATTTATTGACTCCATTTTAATCATTGTAAAGTGTTTTTAGGTATATTAACCTGATTTTCTTACATACAAGCTTTGTATATTTGGGGAAAAAAATCCCACAAACACTGAAATAATGCCTATATCTAGTTGGTAATTGATTAGAACAGATTTTAGCAAATCATACTTAAATGTCTCTGAATTTGGCATGCCTCACCTCACCAGGTTTGCTGCAATTTTGGAACTCATAATTTTTCCTATTTAGTGAGAAATTTCTAAAATCAAATTTTAAAATCATATCATGTAACATCAAAATGACAGAAGCTATCAGCAACATATCTACAAGATTATTTTAGATGTGTTAAATTCGTATGTCCAAACTGCTTTAGACTAGTGTGAAACAAATATGAATAAAAGACACCTCTTCTAGGATTTGGAAAGACAATCACTCCTATTGCTTTTTGTGACAAAGCAATTGTCACAAAAGCATGAGGCAGCTGCTGCTACAGATATGTTCAAGGACTTACTTGAGCACAGAAGATCGAGTCATCAACTGTACTTGGGCATCATCAAGAAAGATGGCACATGAGTAGGGTCTTAAATTAGCTAATTAAGCTCCTGCAAGTCTCTCAATATTCTCCCAGCTCTAACTTCCTTGTTTGTTGAACATAAATCCTAATGCCAACCTTTTGGTTTGTTTGAGATTAGGGAAGGGGCATATAATGAGCTTGTCAAAGTGCTTACCCATTGACTAACAGCACTAACAGGAACAGGAACATTACAAAGCATAACAGCTGTTCAAATGCTATTTATTAACCTCATTTCATTTAAAATATAAGTAAAAAACTATTCTGATTGATCATTCAACTGTTCTTTACAAATCATTTATTTCCTAACATAAAATTTCTTAATCACATCCTAATTTGTGTGATCAACTCAAAATGTTATTGACATTGTTTATAACCACTAAACTAAATGTGCGAATTATTTATTCAAAATATCTTTATGATGTAGCCTATTTTTTATGTCTTCCAAAGTAAGCACAATTTTTTCTAATGAAATTTTACCCCTGTCCTGTAAGTGATTTGAGTTTTTATGCCATTGTCTATAGTTCATTCATTAACAAATATTTTTTGAGTAATAACTCTGTGCCTGGTGTTCTAGGTGCCAAAATATAATAGTGATTATCACGAAGACCCTTGTCCTCATAAATCTTACATTATAACAGGGAGACAGACAATTAACAATAAGTGTAATAATTGTATAGAATATTAGCAGACAAAAAGTGCTATAAGGGGAAAAAAAGTAGAACAGGGTAAGGAAAATTTGGAGTGGGATGGGTAGTTTTCATTGAGAAAGCGACATTTGACACTTGAAGAAGGTTAGGAATTTATTCATGCCATTCTGAGGAAAGAGTGTTCCAAGCAGAGGGAACGGCCAGTGAGAAGACCAATGGCTGGAGGAGGCTCCTGTGGGGCTGGAAGCAGAGAAAGGGAGAGGAGTGGTGGAGGGGAGACAGATGGTAGGCCATTGGAGGACTTTGTCTTCCTCTTGGAGTGCAACGGAGTGTGTGAGCACAGATTCAGAATGCTCTGGTGTGCTGCTTTTTTTTTTTAATGCATTTTAGATTTTTTTTTTTTTTTTTTTTTTTAGACGGAGTCTCACTCTGTCAACCAGGCTGGAGTGCAGTGGCATGATCTCAGCTCACTGCAACCTCTGTCTCCCGGGTTCAAGCAATTCTTCTGCCTCAGCCTCCCAAGTAGCTGGGACTACAGGCGTGCGCCACCATGCCTGGCTAATTTTGCATTTTAGATTTTTAAAGGATCAGAGGATCAGCCTGTCCACTGTGTTGAGAAGGCACTATGGAGACCCCAAGGGTCAAAGCAGACAGATGGGTTAGGAGGTGATTATACAGGTGAGAGCTGCCCATGGCTCAGAGAAGCACTGTAAGAGTAGGTGTGATCAGCATGGTTGGAGTTAGAATGTATTTTGAAGGAGTAATCAACAATGATTTTGGACAGGTTTATATAGGATGTGAGAGCAGATAAGCAAATGTGTCCATTTCATGGAAAATTATTATAAGCCAAAACACTGTATTTTAAAATTTGAAATAGTATATACTTTTTTGTGCTCAAGTATTCTTTCTATTAAACTGCATATAATTAAGCTGCATATAAAGTAAACAAAAACTTTATGAAAATATTTTTCAAAAGATTGGCATGGTGAGTCTTGGGAAGCGAAATCTCTACAACTAAGTCTTGGAAAATTGGAAGAGCTGCCTGCTGGTTCCCTTTGCTCTGACCTTTGGGAGGATAACTACATCATAGATGCTGTCAATTTCTCTCATTTCCATCAACCAACTTTGAAGTGGCATTTACTGATTTCACTAAGTGAGATTCTGCTGGGGTTTGGCCTTGGGATTTCCAAATTTGTGACTTCTTATTCTTCTGTGCACTCTTTGCCAGCCTGTCTTGGAGGAGAAATTCATATTACTGTCAAGAGAAAATTACTTCCAGTTCTTTTGCATGTCAAATCTTGTCATTTCTGCAGGTGTGGCCCATTGTGACTCAGGATACGAGGTGAGGTTTTGGATTTTTATTGTCACTTTCCTTTCTGTGAACTATCTAAATGCATAACTCCCCTCCCCTCTATCTCTTTATGCACCCGTGTCACTTTGGGTATTGTTACTTAATTCCTCTTTTTTTGCAGAATGTGAGCTGTTGTACTCTCTTAGGATCTACTTGTCAAGAAGATAATTCTACAATAAAACTTTTCAATCATAAAGTTTTTGTTTAACATTCTCATAAGTGATGGGATATTTAAAATATCTATTTAAAATAAATATATATTGACTGATTAGTAAGAGGCTGGGCCTCTTCTTTGGGAACCTCTGGAGAGTGTTAAATTAACTGATTGGCCAAGTGGGAAAGTTTAATGTTCCCCTCAGACCTGAGTAAAATATAAGGTTTCCTTTTTGTAGCCTCTCTATATTTAACACTTTGCTGTTAATAAATGCGATGCATTATCTCCTTGGACAACCAAGAAAATCTTTCTCGAATATTTCAAGGAAGGATTGTTTTAGACTGTGTTAGTTACTTAATTCACTTACATGTGATAAATGTTGTAGGTATCAGGATGGAAAATAAAGCTATTCTCTTTCACTCCAGGCAAAATCATCTCTTACCTCTGCATCTGAGCGTGGCACTACTCCCGCTCACATGAAATGCTGTTCTTGGAAGAAATACAGATCACCTTCTACACCTGTGGTATCTCTGCAGCTCTGTCACTACCAAGTTATTGGCAATAAGGAACACACAGGGCCAACATGAGAAACCACACTGAGCCTTTCTGACACGTCAGCTACTTTTATATCACTCCTTGCTTAGAGCAAGACATAAATGGGCTCTTAATCCAAATCAGTACATTTTTGAGAACCATTTGGCAACTTCTTAAACAGGACAAGTTACATCTTAGCTGGTACAACCTTCATAGAGAGAATCCAGGTTTGGGTCTACCTTGAGAGGCCATGTAGAGTATAACAGAACTGGACTGTGAGTCAGGAGACCCCCAACTCTGCTACTAACTGGCAGTGTGACCTTGGGAAGGTGCTGAATCACCTGAGAAACACATTGTTTTATCAGCTAAAATGTTTTTAAAGATACTACTACTGTCCCTTAATGACAGGTCTGTGTTCTGAGAAATATGTCATCAGGCAATTTTGTCCTTGTGCAAACATCATAGAGTGAACTCACACAAACCTAGATGGTATAGCCCACTACACACCTAGGCTACATGGTATAGCCTATTGCTCCCAGTCTACAAACCTGTACAGCATGTTACTGTGCTGAGTCCTGCAAGCAATTGGAACACCATGGCTGCAATTTCACTAGATGACAGGAATTTTCATCTCCATTATAATCTTGTGGGTCCACCAAATGTAGTTTGTCCTTGACTGAAACGTTGCTAGGCAATGCATGACTATATATGATTCTATATCTATTTTGTGGCAATCTTATTAGATAAAGATAGTATTATAATAAAGCGAATACTTTGGGCTAGGATCTTCTATGGCATTAACTTTTTGATCTTCCCTCCCAGATTGAAAAGACTGCTCAGAGATTTGTGTGTCCTTTTCCCTGCCAAGACTCATAGATATGGCCAGGATGTTCTGTAACATACGCATTACAGTGCCACAGTAATCAAACTTACTGTCTGTGCAAGAAACATATGGTACAAGAATAATAATTCTATATTTAGAAAAAGTAACTTCAGCCAAAGCTTTCAATTTCTTGAACTTCATATTCAAAAAGTCAGGAAAACATTATGTTATGTCCAGAAAATGATTACATTCATCCATAAAGAGAAGTAAGCATAATAATAATTATGTCCTTATTAAAAACTCAAAGAATATATGTTTCTGAGTAAAGAATAGACAATGAAAACAAAGTTCACTAATGCCAGAATATTGAGGAAGACAGCCCCTGGAGGAGGGAGGAGACTTTGTAATATAACTATAATTTTCCTAAATTAGGTGGTGCAAGTATGAAGGAATAATATTTCAAATTATGGCTTTTGGAGACTCTCTAGTTTCAGGGTGGGAAGACACCAAGTGCAGTCTTGGCTTTTATTTCTGTCTGAAAGGCAAATCTCACTGGTGGTTCTTTTATGCGCATGACAAGAGCAGTCAATTTTTTCTTCTAAGTTTCATGCCCCTGAGCCAGTATTGTACTGCAGCTGGACTGCATTAACTTAATAGAGCCAATTGTGCTGATGTTTCCAGCTCCCAGTTCAATGAGTCACATAGGTGACTTGAAATCAGCCAAAATAGGAGTATTTACACAATGGAAATTGGTCAACACTCAAACCAGACCTCCCCATCAGAGCCCATTGCAAAAGATTTACCAACACAGTACTGCCTTGATCCCATGAACCCTGACACTCATCTACCACAGCTCACTCTATCTTCCCACACAGCCCCATCTCCTGAGTGATGCTGCATGCATAGCGAATGAGACATTACAACTTTCTTTCAGACTCCCAGCCATGGCCCCAGCCACACTCCCCACCCACAGCCCCAGCCCCATTCGCCACCCACTTTAATAGTTCCCATATTGCAATTATAGTAAAAAGAATTGGATAAAGAAATTGGTATTGGGTAGAAATTACAGATAGATAATAGTAATAGAGTGATTAGGTCCACTGGTAGGTACATTAAAGGGCTAGTAAATACAGATTGAACGGAATTGAATAGCTTTCCTCGTCTGGTCTGGTCAATGCACATTTTTTTCCAGGGTATGAGACATAGTCAAAGTTGTCCAATAGTATCAAATAGCTCCAACGTTTCAAAGGTTTCAACTTATCTTCAGTCAAATTACTTCACTGTACACAAAAAACATAAGGCAGAAAATGGCAGGTTTTATAATCCTCATCAAATAAATGTTTCAGAGGAAGCATAGAAAGAATAAATTCTTTGCTAAAATCATACAGTGAGCCCAACTTAATTATAAATAAAAATTATCCCTTCTTAAATGTTTTACAAGCAATCACTCTTTCAATATAAGATTATAGAGTAGAAAAACATGATCGCTGTGTAACAGCTACTGATACTTTGAAAATGCAGTAAATATCTTATTCTCTTGAGTATGTCATCTTCAAACACCACTTTGAGATAAAAGTGAACAAGATTAAAAACTCAAATTTGAACATTGTTATCCATGTTGAAAATAGTGACCATCTGAAAACACATAATTGTAAGATAGTCTTAGGAATTCTCATTGTGACAAACACTTTCCTATAACAATAATTCTTTATGTTTGTAACTTTTAGATTTGTATTCCCATTTTATTTTCACAACACTCCTTGGCAGCAATGAGTAGTATCCCATTTAACATATTACTACCATTTAACTAACGCTTAGAGACATTGTCAGTTGCTCAAAATCACAGGAAGTTTAGTTAATTAACTTCTAATATACTTTTTATTCTGTATTGTCATTGCATGGAAGGACAAAAATAACTCTGATACGGATATTTTGTTTTAATATGACAATTATAACCTTAATTTTTGTAACAATTACTTTTGGATATTTTAAAATGCAAGCTATTGCTATTATTATTATTTAACCACCATTGAGTGCTTACTGTGTGACAGACGTTGTGCTAGGCATTTTACCTACAGAAACTCCTTCGACATTCACAAGGATATTATAATCACCCATTTTATGTAAATGAACTGAAACTTGAAGATGATAAATAATTTTTTTCAAGATCATAATGGTAGGTGGGGATTTGAAGCATGGTACTTGTTCAACATCCTGTGAATTTCATTAGTGTGTTACTATTGCTTCACCTACTACTTGGTGGTTGACCTACTCAACTCCCTTCACAGAGTTTTCTTCATAAATTAGTTTAAATGCATTTTATTTTATGCATTTAAATATCCATAAAACAATTCATGTATCATAGTTATTAACTTTAATAATATCACTTTCTTTATGGATTCTCTCATTTATATATTCAGTTAACATTTATCCAATAAAAAAAAAAGGCAATGTTCAGTTATTGTAAAGTGCTTTCACTCTTGAGGTCGGACTCTGCTGAGCCTAAATCCTAACCTTACTTGTTGGGATAAGTTACTGATGCTGTCTTTGTGTCCATTTCCTGCTCTGGAAAATGGGAATAAAATGGCATCCCCTATTGATTTTTGTGTGATAATTAAGCAAATGCATGAGTACTAGGTAATGAGAATAACGCTTCTCATAGAGTGTTAGTGCTTATTAACAATTAGTGTATGTATCACTATATACAAATAATGTTAAATTACTCCGAAACTTTAAGAAGTTAAACTCTGGTCTTAACACTTCATTCACAAACCCATGCTTCATAAATGATCATGAAAAGATCTAGCCTTCTAATTTCCTGTTAATTTAGAAGAAAATATTATATAGTGAAGAGTTTAAGTTAGATTGAACATTAGCTCTTCACTGCAAATTTAATAGCATCTCTATGAGCTTCCATTTTCTATTTTATAAAATGAGGCTATTAATATCTAGCTCACAGATTTGCCTAGAGGATGCCTTCTCAACCTTTTACGAGTTAGAACATGGGAAGGAAATAGTCCTGTTTGAGTAGCTCACAAGATGAAGAGGCACGGCTGCTTCAACCTCAGGCCCTTCTGGCTCTCACTATGTTGACTATCCTAAAACCCATTCCCAGCACCCTGTGGAGAACCTCTGGTTCAGGGAGATTCACACAGAGTCAATGGATGCCAGAGTGCCTGGCACACAGAAGACATCATGTTAGTTCCACTTGGTTAGCTCAAATTAACGAGACTTGGCCAGGCGTGGTGGCTCATGCCTGAAATCCCAGCACTTTGGGAGGCTGAGGCAGGTAAATCACAAGGTCAGGAATTCAAGACCAGCCTGGCCAATATGGTGAAACCCTGTCTCTACTAAAAATACAAAAATTAGCCAGACATAGTAGCAAGTGCCTGTAGTCCCAGCTACTCGGGAGGCTGAGGCAGGAGAATCACTTGAACCCAGGAGGCGGAAGTTGCAGTGAGCCAAGATTGTGCCACTGCACTCCAGCCTGGGCGACAGAGTGAAATTCCATCTCAATAAAAAAAGTGATAATAATGATAATGAGACTTTACTGTATTTGGTGAAAACTCATGAATAATACAGAGCCCAAATGATGTCTGCATGTATAATTTTTGTCACTGCTTCATTCTAGCTTCACTCTTTATCTCACTCCTCATGATTCAGCTCTTATTTTCTGGGGGCTGGGAAATTTGGTTATAAAGTATTGGAAATTATGTCACAGATGTTAACAAAGCTAGGAGTGGAGTGCTCTTTTTAGAAAAATAGCAGAAGCCAGCCAGGTGCAGTGGCTCATGCCTGTAATCCCAGCACTATAGTAGGCCCAGGGGAGTGGATCATTTGAGGCCAGGAGTTTGAGACCAGCCTGACCAATATGGCGAAACCCCGCCTCTACTAAAAATACAAAAATTATTAGCCAGGCATGGTTGCACACACCTGGGGTCCCAGCTACTCAGGGGCCTGAGGCATAAGAATTGCTTGAACCCGGGAGGCAGAGGTCACAGTGAGCCAAGATTGTGCCACTGCACTCCAGCCTGGGTGACAGAGTGAGACTGAAAAAAAAAAGAAAGAAAAAAAGAAAAAGAAAAAGGGGAAGGGAAGGGAAGGGAAGGGAAGGGAAGGGAAGGGAAGGGAAGGGAAGGGAAGGGAAGTAGCTGAAGCCTTTAAGAAGTGGGCAGCATAAGAAACCAAGAAAACTGATTTATTATCTTCCATCATTGTTTAGAAATGTCCTTCTGTAGCTGGTTCTTCTCTCATACGTGGGCTCCATATATTTTCTGGACATTTTCACAGTGAAAAGACCTTCAGCCATGTTTTTCTCCAAAACAAACTCCATTTAGTAATAAGTCCAATGTACCAATCTCATCTCTGAATGTGATTAACAACTTGGCCCTGCTCCTGCAGGAAGCCTGCAGTGGAAAGGGACTGTGGCGGTCTTCTCCTTTGACTCATCCCAATACTGGCATTTTCTCTCTTGGAACATTTATAGAGATTCTTAGGAGACGTCACCCCTGAATCCCATGATTAAGAATGGAACTTTAATTTCCAGCTGACCAGTTACGACTTCCCTCTCAGTCCCTGTGCATCTAATTTAATTTTGACCATTTCTGGCATCTTTCTTATGAAGTCTTTCTGCTCCTCCCTGTGTCCCTTCCACACAAAGTCTAAAACAACACCTCCATCCTTCTCAAACATGGCCTGTAGGTACATAGAAAACACACCTTAGTACTGTAGTCAGAGGCAGGGCAGTTTCTCTCAAAAACATAACCCCAACTCTGCTATAGAAACTCACTACAAGCAGCTCTCACTATAGAGATTTCATAGGTGATGCCATCAGTTCACTTTGTCCTTCAAATGCAGGGGCACATAGTAAATTTGTTTAGTAGTCAGTCGAAGCCTCCTTGCTGGTCTTAAAGTGAACACAACTCTATTCCTTCACTGTGGCTGGAGGTGGGGAGGGAGGATGGACACCAAGCACTAATCTCTCAAAAGGAAGCCTCAGCAATCTTCAACTAGCCCAGCGACTTCCATTTCACACCCTTCTTACTCTCAGTGAGTGCCTAAGTGTTAAAAAGTAGGTTTGGGAACCCCTTTTTGCATGTTCTGCATGGTTGGGGTGACTTGTACCTTACTGGGAAACATGAAGCTGGTTTCTATAATCTTAATCCACTACTAAGACAAATCTGAATTATTGGTTATATTTTAAATAATTTAATTGTTTGGATATGTGAGTCCATGCAGGTGAAATATAACTGTCTTAAAATCACGAAAATTTCCTTTTTAAAAAATTATGTTTCATACAGAAACTCTCCCAGGGATGATACTATAATTATGGATAAATTTCTCAATAGATTAAATCATCAGCCAATAGACTTAAATTATCTCACAGAACATAATTACATTCTAGATGATGTGAAATTGGAGATAATGCCTATAATTTTAGTATGTGAGACTGGAATTCAAGGCAACTCTGATGGGATATTAGAGGCCAGATAAATAATTACTCCTGGTAGTCTAATCCTGGGAGGCTTTCCAGGTTTCAACTGATTATGCTGCAACCAGGACATCCTGGTGCCTTTGGTTGCCCAGCAACCATTATCCTCCTATTTTTTTTTTTCCTCTTGTAGTGGTGCAGAACACAATGTCAATTGAAGACTGATAGATAAGAAAGTCAATTTTATCATATCAGCTGGGGCTTGTTTGGCATGGGCACATTCTGAGCTTTAGTGTCAGACAAATCCAAATTCAAATACTGCCCTTGAAAAAGATAATTAACCTCTCTGAGTTTGCTTTAAAACTGAATATTACATGTCAGTCACATCTCCAAGTCTTTTAAATGGAACTGTCCCACTCACAGTCCACTGCTCTGGAAGGCAGCAGTTAGAAATTCTTTATCTGGAGACAGCCACTCATCTTACAGAGGCCAGTTGGCCTGTGCTCCAGTGAAAGTTTTACCAGGAATCCAACGGGGTGTTCTGGAAAGCCCTCTGCTAAAGGAAGGTGATGGTAATTAGCCAATTTATGGATTCATTTTTTCATTCACAAAATAGTTACAGTGTGCCTCTTATATGTTCTATAACTTGTACCAGGCACTAAGGATTCAACAGTGAAGATGAACAGTATTACTGCCCTCATGAACATATAGTCTAATGGGTGTGATGAACAATACACAAATAAACATGAAATAAAATATTTACAGGCTGTGATTATTTCTATGAGAGAAACAGAGAGTGGTGGAGGTGGTTAGATAGAAGCTATTAAGAGACCTAAATTTCGTTACAGAAGTTTCTCTTGAAGAAGGAACATTTAAGCTGAAACCCTAAGGAGCCACCCAAGAAGACTTAAGTTGAGAAAGGGGAAAGCAAGCAAAATATCAGAAGACTGAGAATGGGGCCAGAAGTAAGGCGAAGAGTGAGGCAGCAGAAGACTAGCAGGTGAGAATCATCCTGACAAGGCAGGGCCCGTGGCCGTGGGTTAGGCAGTTGGATTGCATTCCAGGAGTTCTTCCTGAAAATTGGGGTTGGAGCACACACAGAGGACTGGACACTCTGGTGTAGTCACAGATCTGATGACCTTCTAGTTCTGGTTTCAGTCTCGTTTTTCCCTAACTGAAGTGTATGGTTGTTTTGCTCTCAGAATTACCTAAGTATCGCCAACAAAGTACTGTAGCAAGGATTAAATGAAGTAATGCTGGAGTGGGGCCAAGATGGCTGACTAGAAGCAGCAGCAATCTGAGACTCCTATCAAAAAGAACCATAACAGGCTGGGCGCGGTGGCTCACGCCTGTAATCCCACTTTGGGAGGCTGAGGTGGATGGATCACTTGAGTTCAGGAGTTCGAGCCCAGCCTGAACAACATGGTGTAACCGTGTCTCTACTCGAAATACAAAAATTAGCTGGGCGTGGTGGCGAGCGCCTGTAGTCCCAGCTACTTGGGAGGCTGAGACAGGAGAATTGCTTGTACCTGGGAGGTGGAGGTTGCAGTGAGCGGAGATTGCACCACTGCACTCTAGTCTGGGTGACAGGGAAAGACTTTGTCTCAAAAAACAAACAAAAATCATAACAGCGTGTGAATCCTGCACAGGCAACTGAGGTATCCAGGTTCTGTCAGAACTGACTAGGCAGCTGGCGTGACCCACAGAGGGGAAGGAAGAGCAGTGTGGGGAAGGAAGAGTAGTGTGGGGAAGGAAGAGCAGTGTGGTGCAGTAGCCCACCTAAGAGCCACACGGGGCAGGGGATCCCTCAACCCCAGCCAAGGGAGGCGGTGAGTGAGGGTGCTACCCACCCTGGGAATACGTGCTTTTTCCACAGAACTGTGCACCCCACGGATTGGCAGATCCCACTCGTGACCCAATGCCACTGGGGCCTAGTGTCCCAATCACAGAGCACACAGATTCTCAACAGCCACTAAGTTAGAATCTGCTTAAGCCTGCCCAGCTCCCCGGGGATGAGGGGAGACAAGCACCACAGCTGAGGTTGCCTACTGTCTAAGCCATTTGAGCTCCTTATGGGAGGGGCGACAGCCAACACTGGGACTGATAGCTGCCTAACACACTAAGCTCCCAGGCCAGGGGAATGGTAGCAGCCATCTCTATAGCTCCAGGCTACAAAGATAATAAAATACATAGGAATACACCTAACAAGGGGCATGAAGGATCTCTTCAAGGAGAAATACAAACCACTGCTCAAGGAAATAAAAGAGTACACATACAAATGGAAAAACATTCCATGCTCATGGATAGGAAGAATCAACATTGTGAAAATAGCCATATTGCCCAAAGTAATTTGTAGATTCAATGCTATTCCCATCAAACTACCATTGACATTCTTCACAGAATTAGAAAAAACTACTTTAAAAATCATATGGAACCAAAAAGAGCCTGTATAGCCAAGACAATCCTAAGCAAAAAGAACAAAGCTGAAGGCATCATGCTACCCGACTTCAAACTATGCTACAAGGCTACAGTAACCAAAACAGCATGGTACTGGTACCAAAACAGTCACACAGACCAATGGAACAGAACAGAGACCTCAGAAATAACACCACACATCTACAACATCTGATCTTTGACAAACCTGACAAAAACAAGCAATGGTGAAAGTATTCCCTATTTAATGATGCTGAGAAAACTGGCTAGCCATATGGAGAAAAATGAAACTGGATGCTTCCTTACACCTTATTCAAAAATTAACTAGAGATGGATTAAAGAATTAAATGTAAAATCCAAAAACCATAAAAACCTGGGAAGAAAACCTAGGCAATACCATTCAGGACATAGGCATGGGCAAAGACTTCATGACGAAAACTCCAAAAGCAATTACTACAAAAGCCAAGCTGGCAAATGGGCTCTAATTAAACTAAAGAGCTTCTGCACAGCAGGAGAAACTATCATTAGAGTGAACAGGCAACCTACAGAATGGGAGAAAAATTTTGCAATCTACCCATCTGACAAAGGTCTAATAACCAGAATGTATAAGAAACATAAACAAATTTACAAGAAAAAAACAACCCCATCAAAAACTGAGCAAAGGATATGAACAAACACTTCTCAAAAGAAGACATTTATGCAACCAACAAACATACACTGATATGGTGAGAATGTAAATTAATTCAACCATTGTGGAAGACAGTGTGGCGATTCCTCAAGGATCTAGAACCAGAAATACCAGTTGACCCAGCAATCCCATTACTGGTGTATACTCAAAGGAATATAAATCTTTCTACTATAAAGACACATGCACACAAGTTTATTGCAGCACTATTTACAATAGCAAAGACATGGAACCAACCCAAATGCCCATCAATGATAAACTGGATAAAGAAAATGTGGCACATATACACCATGGAATACTATGCAGCCATAAAAAGAAATAAGATCATGTCCTTTCCAGGGACATGAATAAAGCTGGAAGCCATCATCCTCAGCAAAGTAACTCAGGAACAAAAAAGCAAACACCGCATGTTCTCACTCATAAGTGGAAGTTGAACAATGAGAACACATGGACACAGGGATGGGAACAACACACACTGGGGACAGTCTGGGGGCTGGAGGCGAGGGGAGGGACAGCATCAGGACAAATAGCTGATGCATGCGGGGCTTAAAACCTAGATGACAGGTTAATAGGCGCAGCAAACCACCATGGCACATATAAACCTACGCAACAAATCTACACGTTCTGCACTTGTATCCCAGAACTTAAGGTAAAATAAAAATAAAAATAAATAATGCCAATAAACCTCTAACACAGGGATGGGCACATATTTGGCATTATAGCAACTATTGTTATTCACTTCCTTATCATTGTAAATTATTATGATTGTTGTGTTTCATATCTCTGATATCCTCATTTTTCTGCTGTTATGGCCATATATCAAAAAGGAGGGATGAGAATTACAGAGCATCTGAAGTGGGACAAAAGTGACAAAGTGACTACAGATATCCAGAGTATTGCATTTTTTCCTAATGCTATCTTTTGTTCTTTGTCTCCTTAGAGGACATAAGACATGGAAATGTCTTTAAATTACATCAAAAGAAATTCCATATATATTAGTAGGCTTCTTAATTAATACACACTAATCAATACATGCAAGAAGACAAAAAGTAGCACTTTCCCCAGTTGAAGGATACTATAGACCCATGTGACTAAGTTAACCATGGGATTAAGTTTAAATACCATCATCTGTTTTATGTGCTTAATTAGATATTGACCAATAAAATAAGGTTTTTTTGGAAACTACTGCCCATACAATACACTAAGGTTTTTCTCATTAATTATTTGTATGGGATCCATTGAACAGTATTTTTTATTTGGAATCAGCAGGATGATTCAAAGACCATCTGTAATCTTAAGCCACTTATTTAAATTCTCTGAGGTCCTATTTTCACATGTATAAAATGAATTACATACAATTGCTTTACATTCTATAAAAGATTGCTATGAAAATCAAATAACAAAATATAAATTACAGTGGTTTATAAAAAATAATATATTTTTTCATTAAAACCAATAAGATTTTTGTATTCATCTATTTTCACTATGAATTATGTTTTCTCTTTGTTTTATACTTTATTCTCATAGACATATTTTAAAAATTGTAATGTTTGTATTACTCTGTTGTTCCCAGAACTTTGGTGATCAAGAAGAAATGAAAGTCTCCCCCTCCTAGGGACTTGATCTCCTCCACAGAAGGACCTTTCATGGTGTGTAATCCCTCATGAGCCCCTGTTCTTTCTCATCTCAATACATTGTGTTTGCAGGACTCCTCTCTCACCTCCTGAATGGGACCCCTCGAGGGCAGTGAAGGTTTCTTATCTTCTGCTGTATTCCAAACACCCAGCATAGGGCTTGACACATTTGTCTTTTGTTGTTGTTGTTGCTCTCTTGTTATTGTCATTTTGTATAAATAAACCAAAGGAAAACCAAGGTTTGATGTTTTCTTTCATATCTGAGAATGTGTCTTTCACCTTGGCTTGCATTTCTTTGGTAGGAGTTTACCCTTCTTCCTCTCATGCTCATCACTTCAATCTTAAAAATTCTCCATGTCTACTAAATATATATGATAAATAAAGAGTCTCCATCGCTTTTGACTATTATAAATATCTGTGCAGTAAGTTGTTATCAAATAGCAATGCAAGCACAAGAAAATCTGAGTATCTTCTTTCTGCCCCAAATGCTTTTGTTAGTCTTTCTTCCTTCACTTAACTCATTTCATTTAAAAAAAAATTCTCTAAGTACCAAATTTTTGCCAAGCATTGGGCTGTATAGCCAAAACTGAACAAAGCAGGCCCAGTCCCAGTTCTCATTGAACGTATAGAATATATAGAAAACAGATATTTCACAATTAATTATCCTCAAACGGCATACGTCTTATCACATGAAGTTCAGGGTACTATGGAGCATATATCAGGCACGTATCAGAAGGCTCTAAACTGCTCTAGGATCAAAGAAGTCCTCACTGAGACATTAACACTTAAGCTGAGATCTGAGGAACAAGAGTTCATGTATTGAGAGGAGTAAGGAATGAAGGAGGGGCAGGGGAAGTGTGAAGGACTGATTCAGGGCAAGGAATTATTTTAGGATAATTAATATCTGCTTTCTATTATATTCTACAAGTTTCCACAAGAACTGGGACTGGGCCTGCTCTGTTCAGTTTTGGCTATACAGCCCAATACTTGGCAAAGACTTGGTACTTGGAGAATTTAAAAAAATAATGATAATGGCTGGGCATGGTGGCTCATGCCTGTAATCCCAGCACCTTGGGAGGCTGAGGGGGATGGATTGCCTGAGGTCAGGAGTTTGAGACCAGCCTGGCCAGCATAGTGAAATCCCATCTGTACTAAAAATACAAAAATTAGCTGGGTGTGGTGGCGGGCATCTGTAATCCCAGCTACTCGGGAGGCTGAGGCAGGAGAATCGCTTAAACCCAGGAGGCAGAGGTTGCAGTGAGCAGAGATTGCACCATTGCATTCCCGCCCGGGCAACAAGAGCGAAACTCTATCTCAAAAAAATATATATATAATATAATAACAATAATAATAATTCCTTCCCTGATTCAGTCCTCCATACCTCCCCTGCCCCTTTTTTATTGAATTCTCACATGAAAGCTCAACAGGGTATAAGTTCATTTCCAAGTTCACTGAGGTTGTTGGTAGAATTCCTCAAAGATATAGGACTGTGGGCCCTGGGTTTTTGCTGGCTATCGGCTACTAAATATGACCCTCAACTTCTAGAGGTCAATTTCTAGAGGCTGCCTTGCAATTTTTTGCCACATGTATTTCCTCCACATGGTCACTTGATTCATCAAACAAGCAATAGGAGTCTCTGCAGTGAGTCGGCTGGCAAGACGTAATGTAATCACCTTTGCCATATTTTATTGTTTAGAAGCCACTTACAGAACTCACCCATACTCAATGAGAGGGGCTCGTACAAGGCTATGAGTACCAGAAACATATGAAGTAGGGGTAACGCGGGCCACCCTAGAGTCTGTCCATCACATCTTGTAAGCCATGGGAAATTGTTCAAACTTTATTATAATGAAGAGTTTTAAGTTGTTTGAACTTTATTAAATGAAGAGTTTTAATGTTTTATAAAAGTAAATGGAAGGAGGCTAGTTTAGGGGCAGTTTCAGTAATTCAGGTGGCCTGCGTTAGAGTCTTTTCAGGATGACAGAGAGAAACGGACTGCTTCTATAGACAGAAAAATATTGATAAGACTTGTGTCAGATTAGATAAGGAGAGTGAGAAAGAACAAAAAAATTAAATGTGATTCCAAATTTTCTAGACAAGGACGGAGTGTGGTACTATTTACTCAACTGGGGATTGGTGAAGGGGAAGCATATTTGCAGAAAAGATCTTGAATTCCACTTAGTATGCAGACAATGTACAGTATATCTTGGGGAGTTTCAAAGGGAGAGATTTAAGAGTGCAATCTGGGCTGTGAGAGAGATTTGGCAGTCTTATGTAAGTAGACTAAGGTCACGGCAGTAATGAAATCATCCGAAAGGTTATCTAGTGTGAGACAAGCAGAAGATCCATGATGTAAGATGAAATAAATGCAGCAATATTTCAAGGGAAAAAAATGTACTAGAGAGAGAGAAACACCGGAAAGGGGAAGAAAAAGATGTGTTATCATTTAAGCCAAGTGAAGAGATTGCTTTGTAAAGCACAAAACGCTGTTATCAGATCATTGAAGAGAATGATTCAAAAGTGCGCATTAGATTTCATGAGTATAGGCCTGGCCCTGTGATCCTGGCACTTTGGGAGGCTGAGGTGGGTGGATCACTTGAGGTCATGAGTTTGAGACCAGCCTGGCCAACATGGTAAAACCCCATCTCTACTAAAAATACAAAAATTAGCCAGAAATCACTTGAACCCAGGAGGTGGAGGTTACATTGAGCTGAGATCGCTACTGCACTCCAGCCTGGTCTACAGAGTGAGACTCTGTCTGGAAAAAAAAAAAAAAACAGATTTCATGACTATGCAGGCTATTTGCAGTGAATGCTGGAGGCTGAAGCTAGGCATTTATAACGAGTTGTGGTGTGTGGACAAACACAGATATTGAATTGAAGCCAAGGGTTGTAAGGAAGTTCTGTTGCATACATTGACTTGGAAGTGACTTTACTGGAGCTGCAAGGAACACTCAGAGGAGAGATGAAGAGAGGAAAGGAGGGGTGGAATGGTGGATCCAAGGAGCTAAAGCCTGAGGGAAAATTGCAGTGTGCCTTAAGGGACTTATATATTGGGCAGAGTATGAGAAAAAAATGATAAGACATAGAGAGTGTGGCTGGCTAAGGCTGAGGGATTCCCAGAATACTGAGTCCCAAGAGTCCTGTCTGTGGGTACTCAGGCATCTCAGATTTATAAAGGTCTGGCCTGGACAGCTTCCTGTGGTGGTAAAGTGCCAACCAGGGAAATCCTGTCATATGCTATTTCTGTCCAAAAGAACCCATTTAAAATACCATAGGAATGTGCTAAGAACCAAGGTTGTTAGCTAGGAGTGAAAAGCATAGGAATAGAAATTGAGTTCCCTTTATTCTTCAATTAGACTATAAACTCCTTAAGAACAGGACTGCTGAACCTCAGCACAGCACTGGGAACACAGCAGGTGCTAAATAAATACATACAAAAATACAGGCATATCTTGGTTTACTATACGTTGCTTTATTGTGCTTCACAGGTTTTGTGATTTTTACAGATTGAGGATTTGTGGCAACCCTGCATCGAGCAAATCTATTGGTGTCATTTTTCCAACAGTATGTGCTCACTCTCTGTCTCTGTGTCACATTTTGGTCATTCTCCCAATATTTCAAACTTTTTCATTATGATTATATCTGTTATGGTGATCTGTAATCAGTGGTCTTTGATGTTATTATCACAATTATTTTGGGGGGCCACAACTGTGCCTACATAAGACAGGAAACTTAATTGATAAATGTTGTGTGTGCTCTGACCTCTCCACCAACTGGTTATCTACCCATCTGTATCCCTGTTCTTGAGTCTTCCTATTCTCTGAGACACAATGAGATTGAAATTAGGCTGATTCATTACCCTACAACAGGCTCTAAGTGTTCAAGTGAAAGGAAGAATCTCAAGTCTCTAACTTTAAGACAAAATCTAGAAAGGGTTAAGTTGAGTGAGGAAGACATGTTAAAAGCCAAGATGCGCACAAAGCTAGACCCTTTGCACCAAATAGACAAATTGTAAATGCAAACGAAAAAATTATTAAAGGAAATTAAAAGTGCTACTCCAGTGAACACATGAATGACAAGAAAGCAAAACAGTCTTATTGATAATACGGAGAAACGTTGAGAGGTCTCGTTAGAAGATCAAACCAGCTAGAACATTCCCTTAAGCCAAAGCCTAGTACAGAGCAAGGTCCTAACTCTCTTCAATTCCATGAAGACTGAAAGAGGTGAGGAAGCTGTAGAAGAAAAGCTGGAAGCTAGCAGAGGTTGGTTCACGAGGTTTAAGGAAAGAAGCTGTCTCCATAGCGTAAAAGTGCAAGGTGAAGCAGCAAGTGCTGATGGAGAAGCTGCAGTAAGTTATCTGGAAGATCTACTAAGATAATTGGTGAAGGTGGCTACAGTACACAACATATTTTCAGTGTAGATTAAACAGCCTTCTATTGGAAGAAGATGCCGTCTAGGACTTTTATATCTACAGGAAAGTGAATGCCTCGCTTCAAAGCTTCAAAGATCAGGCTAACTTTCTTGTTAGGGGTTAATGAAACCAGTGATTTTAAATTGCAGCTGAAGTTCATTTGCCATTCCAAAAATCCTGGGGCCTTAAATAGTTATGCTTAATCTACTCTGCCCATGCTCTATAATGAAACAACAAAGCCTGGATGACAGCACATCTTTTACAGCATGGTTTATTCAATATTTTAAGCCCACTGTTGAGAACTTCTGCTCAGAAATAAAGATTCCTTCCAAAATATTAATGTTCATTGACAATGCACTGGGTCACCCAAGAGCTCTAGTGAAGATATACAAGGAGATTAATGTTATTTTCATGACTTCTAACAGAACATCTTATCTATTCTGCAGCCCATGGATCAAGGAATAATTTTGACTTTCAAGTCTTATTTAACAAATACATTTTGTAAGGTTATAGCTGTCTTGATGATGCCTCTGAAACATCTGGGCAAAATAAATTGAAAACCTCTGGAAAGGATTCACCATTCTAGATGCCATTAAGAACACTTATGATTCATGGGAGGAAGTCAAAATATCAACATTAACAGGAGTTTGGAACAAGTTGATTTCAGCCCTGATGCATGATTTTGAAGGGTTCAAGGCCAGTGGAGGAAATAACTGCAGATGTGGTGGAAATAACAAGAGAACTAGAAGTGGAACCAGAATCTCTGACTGAGTTATTGTAATCTTATGATAAAACTTGAACAGATGAGGAGTTGCTTCTTATGAATGAGCAAGAAAAGGAGTTTCTTGAGATACAATATAGTCCTGGTGAAGATGCTGTGAACACTGTTGAAATGACAATGTAAGATTTAGAATATTACATAAGCTTAATTGATACAGCATCAAGATTTGAAATAATTTACTCCAATTTTGAAATAAGTTCCACTATGGGTAAAATGTTATCTAGTAGCATCACATACTACAGAGAAATCTTTCATGAAACAAAGACTCAATCAATGAGGCAACTTCATTGTAGGTTTAAGAAATTGGCACATCCACCCCAGTCTTCAGCAACCACCACCCTGATCCATCAGCTGCCATCAACTTCAAAGCAAGACCTTTCACTAGGAAAAAGAAAACTCAGATGACTGTTAGCAGTTTTTAGCAATAAAGTATTTTTGGTTAAGATATGTCCATTTTTTTAAGATTTAATGCCATTGTGCACTGAATAGATTATAGTATAAATATAACTTATATGTGCACTGGCAAACAAAATTACTGCGATTTGCTTTATTGCAATATTAGCCTTATTGGAGTGGTCTAGAACTGAATCCACAATAGTACTGAAGTTGCCTGTAAGTATGCCATGAATTAATGAATGACCTAGACATTAATGAATAAAGCAACAATAAGAAATTCATTAAATTCACTCAAAAATCTTAAGTAACTATTGTTTAAAATATTGTCATGAAGGCAGGACAAAAGATACTATGAAAATGATAACTATTATTGTTATAAAATCTACAGGCCTCTTCCATGAACACATTATCCAGTCTCTCCCTCTTAATGCCCTAATTTTCTTTGTTAAAATATTTATTTTTCAATGTTATTTTAAACTTATTTATAATAAGCAAAATGTGAGAGTTTATCATTGTTTGTAGAAAGAAAGAAGTGCCTATAAACCATGCTTCTAACATTAACTCTTTGACCTTGTGAAAAGGGAATTCTCATGACTAATTAGTATGCACATCATCTGGAGGAGGCAAATAAAATTGTGCAGGCTGCTGTAGCAGATTGCTGTGCATAAAGGCCATTAGCTTCTAGGAAAGGATAGATTTTTCCAGTGTACCCAGGTAAAAAATATTTTTCAAACCTTGATAACTTCATCCTTTTATTCGACCTAGAGCCCATTTACCTCAAAAGTGTGTGAACCCCACCTCACAACCCCTCTCCGGAATTAATTGGGTATTCACAAGTGTTATTAAATTGATTGAATATATAGATCTTTTTCAAATGTCCTAGACAATTACATACTTTAATACCTTTGTTTTAATTTAAAATGAATTCTGTTTTTACTCATTTCCAGAGCAACCCAAGGTAACCAAAATAAATATAGGATAATAGTAATTGAATAAGAGAAAAATACATATCACTCCACTTATCTAGTGATAAACACCAGTATCACCATTGTGTAAATGTTTATAACTTCCTCCATTTTATCTGTTATGTTTGCATATTTTGCATTTCTTAATCAATTTTTAATTTTTAAAATTTTCATCTTTTTTTACTCTTATACAGATAAAATTATTTTATTTTTCATAACCATTTATGTTGACACATAACACACATACACGATACATATATTAGTTTATTTTATCAATCTTTATTTCTTGACATAGAACTTGTTTTCCACTTTTCATAATGTCACAAAATTCTCATCTAAATCCTGCACATATTTCTGACTAATCCCTCAGGATAAGAAACCAGAACTTAATAGCCAAGATTTTATACATTTTCAGGCATGTGATATCATTGCTAGGTTGTCCTCCAAAAGTGTTGTAATAGTATATGCTCCCCACCTACACTGTATGACATCATCACTTCCTGAAGCTAAACCAAGGAGATGTTATCATGTAACATGCAAAGGTTAACTGAGTTGGAATTATGTACTAATTATGATGAAAGATAATTTCTCAGAATTTCCTTAGAAAAATAGTCTTCTGTGCTTGGAAAAGGGGAAGACAGTGGCAGGAGTTTAACTTCTGACTTCGTTTGGAGGATGTTTGATTACAATGCTCTTGACTCAGAAACATAAATTGCCACAAAAGACCTTCTGTTGGCCATTAAACTGCAGAGCACAGGCAGGAAACTACGTAGCATGTCAGGCTTTTGTTTATTTAACACCGTCGGTGAGATGTACTTAGCAGTTATTATCTGCTCAGTGCTCTTCTAGGCATGAAAGCAAGGGGGAAAAATGTAGGTATGTTTCTTATTCTCAAGAATTTTATTAATTGAAGAGAAAAAATATATATGGCAGCCAAACAAGGAAATATTTGAAAAGTAACAATTGAGTTGCATGAATCAGTATAAGTTATAGTAGTCTGAGGAGAAGAGAAAACTTTGGCTTCCTTAATAAGCAATTTATGAGAAAAAATATGTAGTTTCAACACGAGATTGAAGAATGATGTAGAGGATTACAACAGGGAAAAAAGTAATACAATCTAAACAATCATAAAATGAAAGTGAGCATGGCACAACTAATTTTCACTAGATCCATTGGACAGGAATGGAAAGATTATATTGGCAAGTGTAGAAGATAATGTGGTAAGTTTTCTTAGGACAAGATAAAAACGTGCTGGATTCTAGGATAAGAAATAACTTATAAATTCAATTAAGTCAACTGAAAGTTTCTGTTTAGGGAAATAAAATGAAAAAGTCATGATTCATTTGTTCATGCAGGCATGCATAACTAATATATATTGAAAACTTGGCTGGGCTGAGGGCTCACGCTTGTAATCCCAGCACTTTGGGAGGCCAAGGCGGGGTGGATCACATGAGGTCAGAAGTTCGAGACCAGCCTGGCCAACATGGCAAAACATCGTCTCTACCAAAAATACAAAAATTAGCCGGGCGTGGTGGCATGGGTCTGTAGTCCCAGCTACCTCGGAGGCTGAGGCAGGAGAATCGCTTGAATCCGGGAGGCAGAGGTTGCAGTGAGCCGAGATCGCACCACTGCACTCCAGCTTAGGTAACAGAGGGAGACTCTGTCTCAAATAATGATAATGATAATGATAATGATAATGATAATGATAATGATAATGAAAATAAAAACCTACTATGAACTAACTAAACATTAGGACAAGAGAGTTATCTTCTTTTTTAAAGGTTTGTACTCAGAAAGCCCATGGTTTAGGCAAAATTATGCACTGAAATATTAACTTGTTGGTTTTTTGTGTATTTGTTTTTGCTGCTGAAAAATTAGAGATGAAAGCTCCTATGGGAAAGCTCCTTTTGCCTTGAAGCTCATTCTCTTAGTTCATTTGTGCTGCTAAACCAAAATACTTTGGATAATTTATAACAAAACAGAAATGAATCTTCTCACAGTTACAGAGACTGAGAAGTCCAAGAGGGAATTAGCAGATTCAGTGTCTGGCAAGGGCTCCTCTCCCTTACTGTATCCTCTCATGGTGGAAGGGGCTAAAAAGGGACAAGCACACTCCCTTTGACTACTTTTAGAAAGTACTCATCAATTCATGAGGGCAAAGCCCTCATTGTTAAATCACTTCCCCAAAAGCCCCACCTCTTCATACCATCACTTCAGGGTCTAAATTCCAACATATGAATTTTGGAGGAGCACATACATTGAGACCACAGCACTCACAATAGAAGAAAAAGTAATTTCTCCGTGGGGTAGGATTGGAGCCCCTTCTAGACTCTGTCTTTTGAAACCAGCCTGTCACATCCTCTACCCATTCATGTTCTGACCTTCTCTCAGGGGGCTCTGTCCCTTCTGAGGAGACCTGAAGTTGTCCAGTATGCTGGTTACTAAGTGGATGAATAGGTCTAATTGTCAAGATGTAAAGTATTTACTAGTGCATTTGGCCACACATCTAAAACCACCTCTCCAATCAGCTTTATCAGTAATACAGCTGGCCTAATGATCTCTCTCTTGGTAATCTCTGTCTACCTCTCAAATAATTCTGAAATAATGAGGAGAAGAAAGGAATTATTTGCCACTCTCACAAAAGAGCTAAATTTTATTGTGTAGATAACAGTTAAATGTACCTAAAAAACATTTTCTGTTTCTACCTACCTTTTATATTCTTAAAGCCTGAACTCTTGAGGATATTTTACAAGTAAGGACAAGAGAATCCACATGTACTTTGAATATGGGAAGGCTCAAACTTGGAGAGTAATGATGAGGTTCCTTATGTCTGGATGGAGACTAGGTCCATGGGACTTTTGGTATTGTAGATCTATGTCCAGCTCCCTTGCAGCACCCTGGTGGATTAGCAAAACCTGGAGGAATGACTGAGCGGTGCATCTCACAAGCCTCAACACTCAGCTCAGTGTTTCCAGCTTCACCAGCATCCAGTAGCCAGCGCTGGCTACAAAGATGCTGAGTTCCTAGATTTAAGTGGAATGACCACACATGTGAGTTTCCCTGCAACGGTCCAGATTTTTGTGTTATTCTGTCATAATTTTACTTGCACCCTATTATACTCTTCTAGTTTGGTTGATAAGTTATGCAATTGCCCTTAAAACTTTCAAGAGACAAGGTGGAGCTTTGCAATGAGGATTCAAATAGTGAACAGCGTAGGCAGCACCAAATGAATTAGAAGATATCCCTCAGTCACACCTCAAGTAAATGGAAGCACCTCAAATGAGACCTAAGAATGGCTTTTTTTCAGGCGATACAGTCAGATCTTGTTTTCCTTCACTGGTTTCTAAATCTTTGCCTTCCTAGTTTGCCATGCAGGTCATGCTTCAAATTCTTCCAAAATATCATGGACAGATTTCTCACCCTGACCTACAAGTTCAATAAAACCAGGGAATACCTAGGGATGTTTTATTCAATAAATCACATGCATCTCTTTTATCACACAATGTCTTCTACCACTATTCCCCTTGTTCACTTCCCTTTGGCCACATTGGCCTTCTCAATGTTCCTTGACTTCTCAGTCAAGCCCCTACCTGAGGGCTTTTGCCTTTGATGTTTCCTCTTCCTGTAATGCTTTTCTCTCAGATATATGTGTATCTTACTCCCTCATTTCATGAAGTTATCTGCTGAAATGTCACCTTATCACTGAGCCCTTCCATGACAATTCTTTAGGAAAGAGGAAGCAGTATCCATGCTGCCCCTCTCCCTCTTCCCCACTACCTGGTCCCTTACTGTGCTTTATTTTTTCCCACAGCTCTTAATAATTATTGGCATATGATATATTTACTTATATGTTTGATTAACCCTTTTCTCTAGCTATAAAATAAGTTTCAAGAAGGCAGGGACTTATTTTCCTGGCTATATCTCTAGCTCCTTCAATAGTGCTTAGCACATAGTTGGCTTGCAATAAATATGTGCTTAGTTTAAAAAGATGGGTAACAGTCATGGAAATCCAGTCACTGACTAGGAAGGCAAATATTTAGGCCACCAGAGAGCTATTGGTCTCACTCATAAAGATATCATACCTTGTGTCTTTCTTGTTTAAACCTCAGTTTTTAAACTTTGTAATAACTTGAAAATATTCTTTCATGGTGTTAGGAATTATGCTTTTATTTACCTTATCTTTGGTAATCCTATCTATTCATATACCCTTTTTATAAATGTTATCTTTCTAAAGGAAGAAAAAAATCAAATATTCAAAGTCAGTGCTTTTGCAAGATTTTATAGGCACCAGCCATTGTAGGCATAATTTTTTCATATCTTGAATAAATACTAGGATGCCTTAGAAGCTTCTGGAGGAAGCTGACTACTTAAATGTCAGTTATCCAAGTACAACAACAAAAACGAAGTCCATGGTAATTTCAAGCCACATAACAGTGAGTCGGGATATCTTCATTGAACCCAGGCTTTGAGTTTATCCCAGGCTACAGAGGCCCACATAATTTGATCCTAATTAACACAGGCCGGACATGATAGAGAATTTCCTAAATCCCACTCCTAACTTCCAAGGTTTAAGACTTTTTTTGTGGAGAAAACCAATGATCTTGACATAAAGCATTGTCAGCCTATAGCCCACAGGTCTTTGCAATATCTTAACAACAGTGTATTCATGTTTTTGCTTTCTGTCCCTGGAGAAGGTTGCATCAGTCAAATCATCTTCCACTTGCTTGCTAAATAAATCTGGTAACACAGGCAATATATCCTCCTGATTCAAATGGCCTTGCTTGTTGAAATGCAACAGCAATAGGCCTTGAGAATGAAGGATATTCTGGATTTCAGAGGCATACTGCCTGGTTATGAACATTAAAGACATTGTGCAGGTGTTTACACCCTAACTAGTCTTTTATGGTAAGCTATCAACTGTGCATCACAGATTACTAATGAGAGAAGAAATGCCTGTTCCACTGATGTAGCTTAAGTAAGTAGTGTGCAGTTCAGTTCTGGAAAAGATGCCATCACTGCCATTTATAAGCAGTATGTTACCCTTCGTTTTCACATTTTCTAGCAAAAGTTTAATAATTTATTTTGATTTTAGAAAAACAAACACAGGAAGCAAAACTTTATCACCACTAGATCAGCGATACCTATGCCAAATAAGACATAACAATCAATGTGTTAACTTAGAAAACAATTTTTAAACTAACATGACTATAATCACATGTATTTTTAGAAATTTTGTGTAAACAAGCCTTCCAAAAGACAGTTTGGTAGGAAATCTCCCTCAGTGTTTCCATGCATGGCAGCCATCAAAATGTGCTGCTCTCATCTCTTGCAGGAAGCATGCTTGATTGATGGCCACTGCTGCTGTCTCTCTACATTGGCCATTGTGGTTGCTCCTAACCAATGACTAAGTATAGCAGGATTTCTCAGGCAGACCCATTCTGGTAAGACATGACAC